>NC_000007.14:89173445-89476475 GCF_000001405.40 Homo sapiens | reverse complement strand
CTGTTAACTTTCTTCTTGCCAGACCTTGACCATTTTGTTACACAAATGGAAGGATATCCTTGCCAGATGTCTATCTGTCAAACTCCTAGGAACATCATGATTGATTAACCATCATCTTATCTCCTGTAGGAAAAAAACATTATTGCCTGAAGTAATTACGCCTTCCTTGCTTCTCACAGCTATGTTCTGCTCTTCGGGCTATGCTTTCCTGGAATCCCATTATCCCTATTGATATTAAATACCCTAATTCCGTGGCAGTCCCTCCTCCTGCCTCTGGACTGCAGAGGTCAGTCATCACTGAAATTCTCAAAGTTCAGATGCTTCCCTCGTCAAGGCATTCCCTACCACCTTAATTTTTTTTTTAAGTATCTTCTGGACCTACTGGACCTACAGATAGAAAGATTGATTCTTCTTAGTTATTACAGAGTAGATTCATTCTGAATTTACTCATCTACTAAAATCTGAGACTTTCTTCAATACAATGTCAAAGAATTTATATCATCTCTATGTCATTTGCTCTAGATTGTTATACCCAGGCTTCAAGAAGCGATTCCAGAAAATTATGTCCAGTTACAGATATTTTTGCCAACATTTCAATCCTAAGTCATAGGTGAATACCTTCTTGTCGATGAATTTTTTTCTATTTAATTTCCACATTTTCATCTCTTGTTATAACACCTTCAGGATCCATGAGCATTCATTTCAATCTGTGTGTGCTAGTTCATATTTTCCAGGCTTCCTCTTTCTTTGACATTTAGAGAATTGTCTTTCAGCCTACATGGGATGTGCTGAAACCTGATTCTGGTTAGCCTGGAGACAATAAGTGTTGGTGGAGTGAGAAGAAGAGCAACATTTTATTTGATATCTACCTCAAATGAGGTCTTTGTGTGGTCTACTGGCAAAAAGGAGGCTCCGATAAGTGGTAAGGAACTGCCTCTGCCAGCCAGGAGGGGTAAGAGGAACTTGGAGATTCCATAGTCTTTGGCTCTTCTACTCAAATATTTCCATTCTAATCAATTTTCCTATTATGATCCTGGCATTGACATCAGAGATGCTTCCGATTTCATATCTACTGAGGATATGACACCCTTATGCTTATAATCTGGAGTTAAGTTTAAGCATTTTCTGCTATGCAGCTGCAGCATATTAGAATCTCGTTTAAACTGCAGAAGATCTCTGGCTTTCACAGCATCTTTTATGCAGCTGCATCGATCCTATTATTTTATTTTGCTAGATCTCTGATGTCATTAAAATAGGCATCTGAAATTACAATCTTCATAAGTATCATTGTCTCCACAGTGATCAAATGATGTACCCATTTGATTTCCCCAAGCCTTGTTCACAATTAACCATAGGCCAGTGTTTAACAATTGTGGTACCACTGCATGTCAAGTTATTATCATCTTCACTTTGTTATTGTCATCTCACTTACCAACAGACAGGTGAGCAATCCAATAATAAAATCTCACTCTGAAGATCTGCATTTGTGGGATACTCTTGGAGCAAACTGTCTTGGTCCAGATTTCTTAAAATTTACAGCCTGATTAAAGATTGTGAGTGGCTTTATTTGGAAATGCAGTACTGGGAAAAAGGAAATGAAATGAAAGGAAAGGAAAAAGTGAGGCAAGGCAGAGCAGAAGAGAAAATACAAATTGATACATTATCCAACTGGCCACAGCTTCAAAAATATAACACAGCCAGTTTCAAGGTCATAAGGCTCATTTTTCGGACAGGATGTATAAGCCCACCCCATCTTGAACAGTTTCACAGGCAGCGAAAATGAAAGGGATTAATTGTTCATTCTTTTGTCTATCTCTGGTTCACTACAGTGTATTATCTTTCCCAGGCTTCTAGGTTCTGTTACCCAGGCCTTTACTTGGGTAAACCAGATTGCGTGAGGTGATTTTTCACCTGAGTCAGGAAGAGTTAGAGGAGACAAGAGCCTCTGTGAATCTGACCAAGTTGTGCTTTGTGCATCTCACTGAGGCATGTACAAAAGAGAACACACCAAAGTCCATCCTTTACCCTGGAAGAGACTGAGAAAGAGATGTTAGGAGAAAAAGTGAAGAAAGTAGTAACAAGGTCACTTGGTTGGTCCAAGATTTTGGAGACAGGCAAAACTGAGATATCTTGAGAGGCATATAAACTTGCTTCAGTTCATTATCTATTTTTGAAATCTCCTTACTTTCATTTTTAACCTCTTTTACTGTCTATATTTCTGCAAATCATTGAATCATGTTTTAATGAAACTGGACATATAACCCGAATTCAAAGTGTCTTGCATTTGTAGGAGTTTTTTGAGCTAATTAACATATGAACTATCCACAACTTATTTTTTTATGCTGAGAACACTTAAAACCTACTCTCTTAGCAATTTTCAAGACTACAATACATTGATATTAACCATAGTCACCATATTGTACAATAGATTTCATTAATTTATTCCTCCTGTCTAACTTAAATTTTGTGTCCTTTGACCAATATCTCCCTAATTCCCATCCCCAAGATGTCTTGAATTTGGAGAAAATTAATTATGAAGTAAATTTAGAACATCTTAGTTGAAGATACCTGATATATAAGATGAAATTTCAAAGCTTAAGGTCGGAGTGAAAAGTATGAATTTAAGAGTTACAAGTTGTAATGTGGGTATGCAACTGATAGCATAGAAAGAGAAGGGAAAACTGCCAAGGGCTGAAAAGTCTATATTTTACTGACTACAGATGTATGGATTTGACAGAGGGCTTCTCATCCAACCTTCATCAGTTTTCCCATTAATGAAACCTAAGAGTAAAGGAGAAGAAGCAATTTTTCAAGCTACATAGACCTGAAGATTAGAAGTGAAACTAACATTTGACTAGCAGTTAAGGAAACACTTCCACAAATATTATTTTATTTAATTCTTACTACGGCCCTAAAAGAAAAGTATTAGTGTAGTTGGTAATATGTATTTCCTCTAAAAATTTCCATTCCAACTGCCTTCTAGGTGGAGAATTTGGAAATTTAAAAACTAACTTTCAAGATTTCCTTAATCTGGACCGTTGTATATAAATTAACTTTCACAAATTAGTTATACTGGTTTGAGATTAAAAGGTCACAAATGTGATGGAGCCCATTCTCTTGGTCTCTTGGTGATATGGTTGCTGGCTAGCACAAATGTAGGGATCGGGAAATTTCGGGATAACTATAGTGACTGGTTTGATCCAGGGCCTGATGAGTAATTGGGGGTGGCAATTTTCTGACCTCAGATTTGTAGCTCTATTGGACATAGCCTAGAAATCAATAGTCAAATCAGTTATTTAAGATTCTACAATTTTGCTTTCCCAAATATTCTGTACAGTCTCTATTAAATCCCTTCTGCCTGAATATTGACATAATATCTCATATTTAGTTTAACTTCTTCCTATGTTGGGATAATTGTAGACACATGGAATGGTAAGAAATAATACAAAGCAAGCCTTTGTACCCTTTAAACAGTCCCCCCAACCATGGTAATATCTTGCAAATTATAGTACAATATCTCAACTGGGATATTAATATTGAAACAGTCAAGATACAGGACATTTACATCATCACAAAGATCCCTCATTTTGCTTTTTTATAATTACACCCAATCCCCTTACACTCTGTTTCTTAACCCCTGACAACCACTAATATGTTCCATATTTCTATAATTTTTTCATTGCAGGATGGTTATTGTATTCATTGGCTAGGGCTTCCATAACAAAGTACCACAGACTTGGTGGCTTAAACAAGAGAAATTTATGCCCTCATAGTTCTAGAGCCTAGAAGTCCAAGTTCAAGGTGTTGGCAGGAATTTTTTTTTCCCTGAAGCCTTCTCTTTGACTGTTAGATGCCTATCTTCTCCTGGTGTCTTCACATAGTCTTGCCACTGTGTGTGTGTGTGTCCTAATCACCTCTTATTTTAAAGACACCAGGCATATTAGCTTAGGACCCACCTTAATGACCTATTACCTTACTAATCTCTTTAAAGACCTTGTGTCCAAATATAGTCACATTCTGAGGTACTAGAATTAAGATTTAAGCATACAAAATTTGAAGAAACATATTAAGTCCATAACAGTTTTTAAATGGAATCATTTAGTATGAAACCTTTGGGGATTAACTGTTTTTCACTCACCATAATTCTCTGGAGGTTCATTGAGCTCATTGTGTGTATCAATAGTTTGTTCTTTTTGGTGCTAAGCAGTATTTCATGATAAAGATATCCAAGTTTCCTTAACAATTCACTCTTTGAAGATCATCTGGGTCCTTTCTAGTTTTTAACTATTTTGAATAAAACTAATAAACGTTCATGTACATGTTTTTGTATGAATGTCAGTTTTTTTTTTTTCTATGGAAAATTGCTCAAGAGTACAATTGCTGGGTTATATGGTAGTTCTATGTGAGGTTTTTTAAAAAAATTTCAAAATGCTTCTTAGAGTAATTGAACCATTTATATTCTTACAAGTAATTTAGGAGTGACCTAGTTTCTCTGTGTCCTCACCAGCATTTGGTGTTGTCACTTTTTTCTCTTAGCCATTCTGATAGATGTATAGTGATACCTACTGTGATTTACATTTGCATTTCCCTGAAGGCTAATGATGTTGAATAGCTTTTCATGTGCTTATTTTCCATTTGTAAATGCCTTTTGGTGAAATGCCTCTGCCTGTGATTGCTCGTTTTCTAATCAGATTGTTTATTTCTTTATTGTTCAGTTTGAGAGTTTTTATAAATTCTAGATACTTGTTGTTAGATATATTGTTTTCAAATACTTTCTCCTGGTCTGTAGCTTGTCTTTTCATCCTCTTGGCAGCTTTTTGCAGACCAAAATTTTTCATTTCAATGAATTCCAACGTATCAGTTTTTCCTGTTACTATCATGCTTTTGGTTTAAAATCTAAGAGTTCTTTGCCTAACTCTACATTCTGAAGACGTTCTTTATCCAATTCTTCTAAGAGTCTTAATTTCGCTTTTTACACTTAAGTTTGTGATCTATTATGTGTTAATTTTTGTGTACAGTGTAAGATTTGATTATTTTGGTCTATGGAGTTGTGTGTCCAATTGCTTCACTATTATTTGTTGAAAGAGTTATCCTTCCTCATTGAATCGCTTTTGCACCTTTGTCAAAAATCAGTTGGGTAGATTTGTGGGTGTCTGTTTCTTGGTTCTCTATTCTGTTCCGTTGATCTATATAACTATTCTTCTACCACAGTCACATAGTACTGATTACTATACCTATATGTTAAATCTTGAAACCAGAGAAACAGATTCCTTCCATTTTATTATTCTTTTTCAAAATTGATTTAGCTATTCTATATATCTTGTCTATATCTACAAAAAATATAGAATTTTGGTAAGAAGTTTTTTATACCTGTATATTAACTCGGCAAAAATTCATGCTTGCTATGTTGAGCCTTCTAGCCCATAAATATGGTATGTCTCCTCTTCATTTACTTAGCTCTTTCTTTTTTGATTTTTTTAATAAAGTATTTTTAGTTTTCAGGATACAGTTACTATAAATTATTGTTAAATATACTTGTAAGTCATTTTTTTAGAAGTTATAAAAGATATTGTATTTTCAATTTTGGTATCCACGTTTGTTGCTAGTAGATAGGAATATAATTGATTTTTGAATTTTATCTCGTGTCATGTGACCTTGCTAAACTGATTAATTCTAGAATTTTTAGATTGAATTTAAATTTTTACATTGACAATCATGTCATCTGCAAATAAAACACTTTCATTTTCCCTTTCTGATCTGCATGCCCTTAATTTTTATTTTCTTGCCTTAATCCACTAGCTACAATTTCTAGTGCTTATTGAATAAAAATTCTGAGAGCATATATACTTGCCTTGTTACAGATCTTAGGAGGAAATGTTTCAAACTTTCACCATTGAAGGAAAATGTTAGATGTAGGATTTCTGTAGGTGCTGCTTATCAAACTGAAGATTTTTCTACATCAATTGATATGTTTTTTAAAATTAGCTAATTAATGTGGTGGACTATATTGATTATCAAATATTGACCTTGTTTTGCATCCCTGGAATGAACTTCACTTGGCTATGGTGTATAACATTTTTATATTGTTAAATTGTATGTGCTAATAGTTTTAGTACTTTGTGTGTATTTCAAAAAAGGGCCCATTTCATCTATTTTGTCCAATTTATGTGCATAGAGTTTTTCATATCTTCTTGATGTTTGCAGGAATTATAGTGATATTCCTGTTTCATTCATGATATTTGTACTTTGTTTTCTCTGTTTCTCTTTTTCTTTCTCTGTTGTGCTACATATTTGTCAGTTTTATTGATGTTTTGCAAAGAACCAGATCTTTGTTGTATTGGTTTTCTCTATTGTTTTTCTGTTTTCTATTTCATTTATTTCTGCTCGTATCTTTATTATTTCTCCAATTCTACTTGGTTTGGATTTATTTTGCTTTTCTTTTTCTAGATACTTGAAGTACGAACTTAGAATATTTCCTTTTTCTATTTCATGCATTTAATGCTGTAGATTTTTCACTCAACACTACTTGAGATGTGTTCCACAAATATTGATATATTTTCTTTTATATGCAGTACAATGCATTTTTATATCTGACCTGAAACATAGTCTTTATGAATTACTTAGAAGTGTGTTGTTTAGCTAAAATGATGTTTATTAAATGAATATATTAATCTGCAGCTACTATGCCTTAGATGAAACTATGTACCTGACTATGGAACATCAAGTAATTACGCAACTAAAGTTGTCATCCTGTGGGTAACAGACTTGCTAACTTGTAAGTTATGAACAGGTGTTCTACATTCCTTTGACACTTACCTCTTTTGCACTGATGCTTCTATCTTGCTTCACACCTGTAGTCTCATGGGGGTTTCCCTACAACATAATTAAAGTGAAGAAAAATGCTCAGGCCTGGTTTACAGAAATGTAAGCATGATATGATGATACTAACTGGAGTTAATCTGTTATTCATTATAGTTCCACTAAAGGGTGATTTTTAAGAATAAGGGTAAAGAAAAATCCTTCCAGTGACTAGATCTATGAGGGGTGCACTTCAACATCCACTTTATATGAAAAGAGAAACAGTCATAGATAAAGATATGCACTTATTCCTAGGAAATAATATCTTGGATATTTAATCAGGCATCTGAAAAAAAATCTGATACATTAAAGGAAAGTAGGCCAGGAGACTAGCAGCCCAAGAGCAAACTTATTTTACTGAGTTGGGAAAGTGACTTTGACCAGGGATACCTACAGTTACAACTGCACCATGGGGGAAGACAAGAATAGACCTGGAGCCTAAGTGATTAACTAGACTGTCTTATGGTATTTCCATGACCAATGAAAATTGTGAATAGATATTGGCACAACAACAAATCATACTTCTCTGAGTTTGAATTTAATATCTAGGTCACTCCAGAAAGCAAGCAAACCATATGAGGGAAGATGATGGCTAAGGATGAAGGAAATCTTGACACCATGGCTAGCTGCTGCATTGCAGACTATAGTTTCAGTTTGCTAAAGTTTGTTAAGATTTTTAAAGAGGTTGAACCTGCATGTTCCCTTTTATGGAAGATATGATACCATCCTGTTCTTATATAAGATCCAGATATCATAAGAGGATGCAAGCAGAAAGGCACAAGGGATGAACTGTACCAGCCTCAGTTTATCTGCCTCTTTAAGCCTCTGCCTTTTGCTTATTGGAGAATATAGCATGCCACTGCCTTTATTTTCCCTTCTGACACTATTTACTGCTAAAGCTTGTTTGGAGGTAAGAAGTGGAATGTACCAACCAGAGTCCCTCTTGGTATCACCATAGTGGGCCACCGCAACTCTAACACCGAAGTCTCACCCAGAGGAACACACACAAGTTCTGTTCCTGTCCAAAGCTTTCTGACCTAGAGGAAGACATCCAGCCTTAGGGAGTGACATACAGCTTTTCCAGCAATTGCCTGGACAGGGAAAGGAAGAAAATCCAGGAAAGCAAGAACTTTAACGCCCATGGGGAGAATAAAAACGAGGGACCGGAGACTTTAAGAATCTGGAAAGTGAATGTCTTTTCCATCCTCCTCCTGATGGACTATACTGAAGCAACGTGATTCTACGTGTCTTTTCTGGAAGACACTGCTTTTGGCAAACAGCCAGCTGTGTTTTCTAACTCCATGGCCAGGTTTGTATCACACTCCCAAATACTTTTACTTTCCCGTCTTCTAACCTCACTTCCTTTTCCTTCCTAACTAACTCCTCTGGCCTGGAATTTTACCTCTCAATAAACCCTTTGCATATAAGCTTTTCCTCATGTTCTATTTTCCAAGCTAACGCTGGGCAAAAAGTAAAATATAGTAACAAAATTAGTATGAAGTAAAATAGGAAATGTAAAATAAGGATATTGAATTTATGAAACAAAATACATATGTATTTTCCATATAAATATTGGAGGTCTACATTCTGGAAGCCAGCATAAAGAAGGAAAAACACAATTCTTGAATAATTCACAAGTCTAGTAACAAAGAGAATGATCAGAATTAAATTACTCTGCGAAGTGACAACACTTTGGACAATTCTGGACTTCTTAAATGACAGAAAATACCTTGTCTTAATCAATGTGTTAATATTTATGAGGTCCTAGTACTACTAAGTAATCCTGAAATGTTTCCAATTATTGTCATGGAGATTGGAAAATAATCCAGGTAGTATGCCAGGTGCTGTAGTACATGCTATGTTCTGACGAAACAAAGCTTGCCATCCAAAACGTCTATAAACAAACGTGTGTTTGTGTGTGTGTCGGGGGTGTGTGTATAAGATAGAATAGCATAGTTTCTAACACAGGTAAACTGGGAATTTAGAGGGCGCACAGAGAATAAATTAGTTACTTCTACAACAGAACAGCAGGGAAAAAAAAAAACATTTAAGTATAGTGCATATGGAAACTTAAAAAAAAGTGTAACAACTATCATGTGAGGTGTGCAACCATGAAACCTTATGGAAGATTTGAGCAACTCAAAGTTGGACCTTTGGGGTCTAGAATATGACTGAATATGAGTGGTGAGTGATGATGTTTAGTAGGTAAACATAAGGCAGATTGATAGACTGCACAGAACCATTCATAGCATGTAAAAGTTTTAGTTCTCCTGTTGAGAAATGGGAGGGGTAAGATATAACATTTAATAGGAAAAGGGAGGGCACATTGCATAGGACCATTTATACCATGAAAGGGTCTGTACTTTCCTGTTAGGAATCATCGAGGGACCCGAAACAGTAATGTAACATATATTTCATTTTAGAAAAATCATGGTGTCACTAATATTAAGGATATAAATGGTTTTGGAAAAAACAAAACAGGCAAAACTAGAGGTGAGAAATCACTTTGTACTTTATTATGACAATCAAGTCAAGTCAGGAGGCAACAGAAGCTTGAGTTAAGGCACAGCAAGAGCTGTAGAAAGGAACTGCTAAGAGAGATAGCAGGTAGAAATTATGGAGGGAAGTGTAGCACTACGTGGATGCAAAAGAGAATCCAAATATGATGATGATTATCATCATAAAAAATTATAGAAAGCTAACTTTTTGTAGGTATTGCATTAAGCACTTTTCATGAACCCATATATTTATGTTTGATTTATGTTTACTGATCAGCAAGATAGCAGTACCATTCATAGTAATTCAGTAAATTTAGGAAAAACAAGTTTATAGGACAAATGCACACAGTGGATACTCTTCTACTTTTTGATTTGAAAAATGCATTCACAACAGAAAGCCCCCTCTTTTTTTGTAAAATAAAGGTACTATAATCATAATAAATATTATAATGTGAGGCTATGCTATTATTGGCCTAAGGTGTTCAAATTTGGGTTCATGATGGCAATTCCAGTCATTGCGACTGAATATTTTCAATTTGTTTTTTGCTAAAATTCTATTAAAGCAATAAGTTAAAAACTTAATATTAGGGAGGGAGCCAAGATGGCCAGATAGGAACAGCTCTGGTCTACAGCTCCCAGAGTGAGCTACACAGAAGACTGGTGATTTCTGCATTTCCATCTGACATACCGGGTTCATCTTACTAGGGAGTGCCAGAAAGCGGGTGCAGGACAGTGGGTGCAGCGCACCGTGGGCGAGCCGAAGCAGGGCGAGGCATTGCCTCACTCGGGAAGCGCAAGGGGTCAGGGAGTTCCCTTTCCTAGTCAAACAAAGGGGTGACAGATGGCACCTGGAAAATCGGGTCACTCCCACCCGAATACTGCAATTTTCCAACAGCCTTAAAAAAATGGCGCACCAGGAGATTATATCCTGCACCTAGCTCGGAGGGTCCTATGCCCACAGAGTCTCGATGATTGCTAGCACAGCAGTCTGAGATCAAACTGCAAGGCAGCAGCGAGGCTGGTGGAGGGGCGCCTGCCATTGCCCAGGCTTGCTTAGGTAAACAAAGCGGCCGGGAAGCTCGAAATGGGTGGAACCCACCACAGCTCAAGGAGGCCTGCCTGCCTCTGTAGGCTCCACCTCTGGGGGCAGGGCACAGACAGAAAAACAAAAAGACAGCAGTAACCTCTGCAGACTTAAATGTCCCTGTCTGACAGCTTTGAAGAGAGTAGTGGCTCTCCCAGCATGCAGGTGGAGATCTGAGAACCGGAAGACTGCCTCCTCAAGTGGGTCTCTGACCCCCGAGCAGCCTAACTGGGAGGCACCCCCCAGTAGGGGCAGACTAACACCTCACACGGCCCGGTAATCCTCTGAGACAAAAATTCCAAAGGACCAATCAGGCAGCAGCAATTGCGGTTCACGAAAAGCCACTGTTCCACAGCCACTGCTGTTCTACAGCCACCACTGTTCTACAGCCACTGCTGCAGATACCCAGGCAAACAGGGTCTGGAGTGGACCTCTAGCAAACTCCAACAGACCTGCAGCTGAGGGTCCTGTCTGTTAGAAGGAAAACTAACAAACAGAAAGGACATCCACACCAAAAACCCATCTGTACGTCACCATCATCAAAGACCAAAAGTAGATAAAACCACAAAGATGGGGAAAAAACAGAGCAGAAAAACTGGAAACTCTAAAAAGCAGAGTGCCTCTCCTCCAAAGGAATGCAGTTCCTCACCAGCACTGGAACAAAGCTGGATGGAGAATGACTTTCACGAGTTGAGAGAAGAAGGCTTCAGACGATCAAACTACTCCAAGCTACAGGAAGAAATTCAAACCAATGGCAAAGAATTTAAAACCTTTGAAAAAAAATTAGACAAATGTATAACTAGAATAACCAATGCAGAGAAGTACTTAAAGGAGCTGATGGAGCTGAAAGCCAAGGCTAGAGAACTACGTGAAAAATGCAGAAGCCTCAGGAGCCGACGCGATCAACTGGAAGAAAGGGTATCAGTGATGGAAGATGAAATGAATGAAACGAAGCGAGAAGGGAAGTTTAGAGAAAAAAGAATAAAAAGAAACGAACAAACTCTCAAAGAAATATGGGACTATGTGAGAAGACCAAATCTGCGTCTGATTGGTGTACCTGAAAGTGATGGGGAGAATGGAACCAAGTTGGAAAACACTCTGCAGGATATTATCCAGGAGAACTTCCCCAATCTAGCAAGGCAGGCCAACATTCAGATTCAGGAAATACAGAGAACGCCACAAAGATACTCCTCAAGAAGAGCAACTCCAAGACACAGAATTGTCAGATTCACCAAAGTTGAAATGAAGGAAAAAACGTTAAGGGCAGCCAGAGAGAAAGGTCGGGTTACCCACAAAGGGAGGCTCATCAGACTAACAGCTGATCTCTTGGCAGAAACTCTACAAGCGAGAAGAGAGGGGGGGCCAATATTCAACATTCTTAAAGAAAAGAATTTTCACCCCAGAATTTCATATCCAGCCAAACCAGGCTTCATAAGTGAAGGAGAAATAAAATACTTTACAGACAAGCAAATGCTGAGAGATTTGTCACCACCAGGCCTGCCCTACAAGAGCTCCTGAAGGAAGCACTAAACGTGGAAAGGAACAAATGGCACCAGCCACTGCAAAAACATGCCAAATTGTAAAGACCATCAAGGCTAGGAAGAAACCGCATCAACTAACGAGCAAAATAACCAGCTAACGTCATAATGACAGGATCAAATTCACACATAACAATATTAACTTTAAATGTAAATGGGCTAAATGCTCCAATTAAAAGACAAAGACTGGCAAATTGGATAGAGTCAAGACCCATCAGTGTGCTGTATTCAGGAAACCCATCTCACGGGCAGAGACACATATAAGCTCAAAATAAAGGGATGGAGGAAGATCTACCAAGCAAATGGAAAACAAAAAAAGGCAGGGGTTGCAATCCTAGTCTCTGATAAAACAGACTTTAAACCAACCAAGATCAAAAGAGACAAAGAAGGCCATTACATAATGGTAAAGGGATCAATTCAACAAGAGGAGCTAACTATCCTAAATATATATGCACCCAATACAGGAGCACCCAGATTCATAAAGCAAGTCCTGAGTGACCTACAAAGAGACTTAGACTCCCACACAATAATAATGGGAGACTTTAACACCCCATTGTCAACATTAGACAGATCAACGAGACAGAAAGTTAACAAAGATACACAGGAATTGAACTCAGCTCTGCACCAAGCGGACCTAATAGACAACTACAGAACTCTCCACCCCAAATCAACAGAATATACATTTTTTTCAGCACCACACCACACCTATTCCAAAATTGACCAAATAGTTGGAAGTAAAGCAAAGCACTCCTCAGCAAATGTAAAAGAACAGAAATTATAACAAACTGTCTCTCAGACCACAGTGCAATCAAACTAGAACTCAGGATTCAGAAACTCACTCAAAACCGCTCAACTACATGGAAACTGAACAACCTGCTCCTGAATGACTACTGGGTACATAACGAAATGAAGGCAGAAATAAAGATGTTCTTTGAAACCAATGAGAACAAAGACACAACATACCAGAATCTCTGGGACGCATTCAAAGCAGTGTGTAGAGGGAAATTTATAGCACTAAATGCCCACAAGAGAAAGCAGGAAAGATCCAAAATTGACACCCTAACATCACAATTAAAAGAACTAGAAAAGCAAGGGCAAACACATTCAAAAGCTAGCAGAAGGCAAGAAATAACTAAAATCAGAGCAGAACTGAAGGAAATAGAGACACAAAAAACCCTTCAAAAAATTAATGAATCCAGGAGCTGGTTTTTTGAAAAGATCAACAAAATTGATAGACCGCTAGCAAGACTAATGAAGAAAAGAGAGAAGAATCAAATAGACACAATAAAAAGTGATAAAGGGGATATCACCATATCACCACTGATCCCACAGAAATACAAACTACCATCAGAGAATACTACAAACATCTCTACGCAAATAAACTAGAAAATCTAAAGCCCTCAGAAATAACGCCGCATATCTACAACTATCTGATCTTTGACAAACCTGACAAAAACAAGCAATAGGGAAAGGATTCCCTATTTAATAAATGGTGCTGGGAAAACTGGCTAGCCATATGTAGAAAGCTGAAACTGGATCCCTTCCTTACACCTTATACAAAAATCAATTCAAGATGGATTAAAGACTTAATCGTTAGACCTAAAACCATAAAAACCCTGGAAGAAAACCTAGGCATTACCATTCAGGACATAGGCATGGGCAAGGACTTCATGTCTAAAACACCAAAAGCAATGGCAAAAAAAGACAAGATTGACAAATGGGATCTAATTAAACTAAAGAGCTTCTGCACAGCAAAAGAAACTACCATCAGAGTG
Organism: Homo sapiens; assembly: GCF_000001405.40. Taxonomy (NCBI): domain Eukaryota; kingdom Metazoa; phylum Chordata; class Mammalia; order Primates; family Hominidae; genus Homo; species Homo sapiens. Next base: position 89,462,722 of record NC_000007.14, on the reverse strand, counting down.
AACAGGCAACCTACAGAATGGAAGAAAATTTTCACAACCTACTTATCTGACAAAGGGCTAATATCCAGAATCTACAATGAACTCAAACAAATTTACAAGAAAAAAACAAACAACCCCATCAAAAAGTGGGCAAAGGATATGAACAGACACTTCTCCAAACAAGACATTTATGCAGCCAAAAAACACATGAAAAAATGCTCATCATCACTGGCCATCAGAGAAATGCAAATGAAAACCACAATGAGATACCATCTCACACCAGTTAGAATGGCAATCATTAAAAAGTCAGGAAACAACAGGTGCTGGAGAGGATGTGGAGAAATAGGAACACTTTTACACTGTTGGTGGGACTGTAAACTAGTTCAACCATTGTGGAAGTCAGTGTGGTGATTCCTCAGGGATCTAGAACTGGAAATACCATTTGACCCAGCCATCCCATTACTGGGTATATGCCCAAAGGACTACAAATCATGCTGCTATAAAGACACAGGCACACTTATGTTTATTGCAGCATTATTCACAATAGCAAAGACTTGGAACCAACCCAAATGTCCAACAATGACAGACTGGATTAAGAAAATGTGGCACATATACACCATGGAATACTATGCAGCCATAAAAAAATGATGAGTTCATGTCCTTTGTAGGGACATGGATGAAATTGCAAATCATCATTGTCAGTAAACTATCTCAAGAACAAAAAACCAAACACCGCATATTCTCACTCATAGGTGGGAATTGAACAATGAGATCACATGGACACAGGAAGGGGAATATCACACTCTGGGGACTGTGGTGGGGTGGGGGGAGGGGGGAGGGATAGCATCAGGAGATATACCTAATGCTAGATGACGAGTTAGTGGGTGCAGCGCACCAGCATGGCACATGTATACATATGTAACTAACCTGCACAATGTGCACATGTACCCTAAAACTTAAAGTATAAAAAGAAAAAGAAAATCTAGAAGAAATGGATAAATTCCTTGACACATACACCCTCCCAAGACTAAACCAAGAAGAAGTTGAATCTCTGAATAGACCAATAACAGGCTCTGAAATTGTGGCAATAATCAATAGCTTACCAACCAAAAAGAGTCCAGGACCAGATGGATTCACAGCCACATTCTACCAGAGGTACAAGGAGGAGCTGGTACCATTCCTTCTGAAACTATTCCAATCAATAGAAAAAACCTCCTTTTATGAGGCCAGCATCATCCTGATACCAAAGCCTGGCAGAGACACAACCAAAAAAGAGAATTTTAGACCAATATCCTTGATGAACATTGATGCAAAAATCCTCAATAAAATAATGGCAAACCGAATCCAGCAGCACATCAAAAAGCTTATCCACCATGATCAAGTGGGCTTCATCCCTGGGATGCAAGGCTGGTTCAACATACGCAAATCAATAAATGTAATCCAGCATATAAACAGAACCAAAGACAAAAACCACATGATATCTCAATAGATGCAGAAAAGGCCTTTGACAAAATTCAACAACCCTTCATGCTAAAAACTCTCAATAAATTAGGTATTGATGGGATGTATCTCAAAATAATATGAGCTATCTATGACAAACCCCCAGCCAATATCATACTGAATGGGCAAAAACTGGAAGCATTCCCTTTGAAAACTGGCATAAGACAGGGATGCCCTCTCTCACCACTCCTATTCAACATAATGTTGGAAGTTCTGGCCAGGGTAATTAGGCAGGAGAAGGAAATAAAGGGTATTCAATTAGGAATAGAGGAAGTCAAATTGTCCCTGTTTGCAGATGACATGATTGTATGTCTAGAAAACCCCATTTTCTCAGCCCAAAATCTCCTTAAACTGATAAGCAACTTCAGCAAAGTCTCAGGATACAAAATCAATGTGCAAAAATCACAAGCATTCTTCTACACCAATAACAGACAAACAGAAAGCCAAATCATGAGTGAACTCCCATTCACAATTGCTTCAAAGAGAATAAAATACCTAGGAATCCAACTTACAAGGGATGTGAAGGAGCTCTTCAAGGAGAACTACAAACCACTGCTCAAAGGAATAAAAGAGGATACAAACAAATGGAAGAACATTCCATGCTCATGGGTTGGAAGAATCAATATCATGAAAATGGCCATGCTGCCCAAGGTAATTTATAGATTCAACGCCATCCCCATCAAGCTACCAATGACTTTCTTCACAGAATTGGAAAAAGTACTTTAAAGTTCATATGGAACCAAGAAAGAGCCCACATTGCCAAGTCAATCCTAAGCCAAAAGAACAAAGCTGGAGGCATCATGCTACCTGACTTCAAACTATACTACAAGGGTACGGTAACCAAAACAGCATGGTACTGGTACCAAAACAGAGATATAGACCAATGGAACAGAACAGAGCCCTCAGAAATAATGCCCCATATCTACAACTATCTGATCTTTGACAAATCTGACAAAAACAAGCAATGGGGAAAGGAATCCCTATTTAATAAATGGTGCTGGGAAAACTGGCTAGCCATATGTAGAAAGCTGAAACTGGATCCCTTCCTTACACCTTATATAAAAATTAATTCAAGACGGATTAAAGACTTACATGTTAGACCTAAAACCATACAAACCCTAGAAGGAAACCTAGGCAATACCATTCAGGACATAGGCACGGGCAAGGACTTCATCTCTAAAACACCAAAAGCAATGGCAACAAAAGCCAAAATTGACAAATGGGATCTAATTAAACTAAAGAGCTTCTGCACAGCAAAAGAAAAGAAACTACCATCAGAGTGAACAGGCAACCTATAAAATGGGAGAAAATTTTTGCAACCTACTCATCTGACAAAGGGCTAATATCCAGAATCTACAATGAACTCAAACAAATTTACGAGAAAAAAACAAACAACCCCATCAAGAAGTGAGCAAAGGATATGAACAGACACTTCTCAAAAGAAGACATTTATGCAGCCAAAAAACACATGAAAAAATGCTCATCATCACTGGCCATCAGAGAAATGCAAATCAAAACCGCAATGAGATACCATCTCACACCAGTTAGAATGGCGATCATTAAAAAGTCAGGAAACAACAGGTGATGCAGAGGATGTGGAGAAATAGGAACACTCTTACACTGTTGGTGGGACTGTAAACTAGTTGAATCATTGTGGAAGTCAGTGTGGTGATTCCTCAGGGATCTAGAACTAGAAATGCCATTTGACCCAGCCATCCCATTACTGGGTATATACCAAAGGACTATAAATCATGCTGCTATAAAGACACATGTACATGTATGTTTCTTGCGGCACTATTCACAATAGCAAAGACTTGGAACCAACCCAAATGTCCAACAACGATAGGCTGGATTAAGAAAATGTGGCATATATACACCATGGAATACTATGCAGCCATAAAAAATGATGAGTTTATGTCCTTTGTAGGGACATGGATGAAACTGGAAATCATCATTCTCAGCAAACTATCGCAAAGACAAAAAACCAAACACCACATGTTCTCACTCATAGGTGGGAATTGAACAACGAGAACACATGGACACAGGAAGGGGAACATCACACACCGGGGACTGTTGTGGGGTGGGCGGAGGGGGGAGGGATAGCATTAGGAGATATACCTAATGCTAAATGACGTGTTAATGGGTGCAGCACACCAACATGGCACATGTATACATATGTAAGAATCCTGCACATTGTGCACATGTACCCTAAAACTTAAAGTATAATAATAATAAAATTAAATTAAATTAAAAAAAACAAACTTAATATTGTGCATTTTGAATTTGAAGCTATAGCAAAACTACTGCAACATTCTATCCCAACAGACATGGAAGACATTTATTGAGGATATTATGTAGGTTTTCTCCCTTTTTATAAATCGAAGTATAGCTTTGGATTAGAATAAACTGCTATGTAGCCGCTGTGTCTTATTAGACTTGTGATTTTTGCTTAAATAAGCTATTCTTTTTATCTTACTTTCCTTATTTCTTTGATTTAACAACTCATTAGCAGGTCACTCACTGTTGTACCCACTAAACTTTTCATTTAAATTTACCAGTCAGTTTGTTATGAAAATATGAGCTACTATAAGGCATCCTCACTGGGTGGGTAGCACTGCTTAATTGTGCAAAGCATGGATTCAGTCTTCTTGAAAGTACTTCTGCTCTGTCTATGATCAGTGGCTATTTTTTCCAGGTAAATTTTATTTGTATCTTTAACACATGAAGATGTTGAGTGCAGTGCATCCATTTTGTGAATTTATTTCTGAAATTCTCATGACCTTGACTGAGGACAAGCAGAGAGCTTTTACAAATAATACTCTGCCTTCATCTATAAAGTTCTGGAGAGAAGAGAAAGTGTCCTGTGGAGTCCTTGGGAATTAATTATACACTCACCGCTGGGATCTTAGCCATTCCCTTGCTGGCTGTTAGCTTTCATAGATGACCAGACTCTCCTAATATGGGCAAGTAGTCACTGGGATTATGATATCCATGTGGAAGTCTGTGCTAGTATTCCAACCACAAGTGACCAATTATCACACGTTGTTATTTTACCTGACTAAATCAATCACACAAGCATTACATTGCTTTTCTAGTAACAACCAGTTCACGGAATTTACTGAAGGCAAACTGTGAATTAGCCACTCGGTGTTCCTCCGGGCAGACAGTCCAGAGAAAATGAGGAGGTTTCCAAGGGAAAGCTCATATTGTAAATTGTCAGGTATTAAAAAGAAAAATATAAGGTTGAAGTCAATTACCCCTGACAACTTCTGACTAGCAACATTTTGGCTTTATACTGACTAGACATTGTCAAATGTAAATTATCCTGTTTATATTTTAAAAATACAGACAGCTTGTCTATTGGATTACTACACTTAAGCAGCTAAAATATTTACAGACATAGAAATTGTATTTCTTGTAAACAACTATTATCTCTCTTGAGCAACCTAATCCCATGTTTTAACCTATTTTGAGGAGGTAATTAGCTACCTCTTTATTCCCAAATTGAAAATAGTTAATAAGATTTTCTTCATCAAATGATTGTCATAAATTATTTGAATAAAACCCCCCAACTCCATATATACTTTAGCTTTTATTTTTATTAAACCATACTAAACATTTCATCAACATTTTTGTTTTAACCAAGAATGTCTGACTTATTAAAAAGTAGTTTTTCTGAAGAACCATTAATTTTTCTCTGGATTTATAATGATAGATAGAAAAAGAAAGATAAAGTGATCTTTTTTTGCTTGCACTACTGTATAAAAATTGCCTTGTGTAGTAGATACAGCTTAAATAACTAATTGCAGCTGGTTACTTATGCAGGCTGAGTTTTTGTTTTAATCAATGAGAATTTGGTTACAATAACAAGAAGCATTGTGCTCCTGCTAAGGAAAAATTTATGTCTTTGGAAGTGGCATGTCATGGAGCACCATCTTGTACACTGTGTTGGGATTCTGTTTTCCTAAATCTACAGCAATAATCCTGCTACATGTCAGCAAGAAACATTAGAGATCATACTCACAAGGTACTTTCCAGACACAAATTGAGAAGAAAATATTGAAATAAGTAAATCAACCTGCTTTTCCCTTAAGTGAACAATAGGGTGGAAAAAATCTGGGAAGAGGAGGGAATCAATGTACATTTGTTAATAATGACCCCTTATAAAATATTTACTTGTTTTAACTTTTTAGCTTAGGATAATAATAACTCCTAATAAATCTACCCAGCGTAGAGATTAATTTTCCTGGTTATGAGGCAGAGTTTCTGGTTTTGTTAAGAAGTCAATTACATTTTCTATAATGTGTGCATTAAAATAATAGACTTCTCATATTGTAGCTCTATTGTAGCTCTATAGTAAGTACATTTTAATTATATTTTATTCAGGTTTATAAAAGTATAATTAAAATATATGCTATAGTAGACAGAGTCTTAATTCTCAACATATCATTATTGGGTTGAGATACAACAGAAGCTGAGTCAGCAGAAGAGTTTTATTTTGTATGCATCTTTTGGAATGTTTCATAATATTGTGATATCTAAAAACAGGCAACAAGGACACTTAGAAGCAGGAGTAGAAATTTTAGAGGCCAAAATAGTCGCATCTATTGGCTAAATGCAGCTAGACTTTTTATATCACATTGGCCAGTGATATTGAGGTATCATTTTCTATTAAACCTGTATAATTTATTTTAAAGATATATTGTTTGCTTTTCAAGCTATACCATTATGTCACCGATACTCTTATTTTAACAAGTATTAATATGTTGGGACTCCATGTATCTTTGAAATAGCCCCAAACAGGTACTTTTTCAATAGTCCAAGAAAATACCTTTTTTATTTTCTTAAATTATAAGGTTCTAATACAAAATCCAGTAAGAACTGAGCTGTAAAAACTTACAGGACAATATGAGTTATCTAAGTCAAGTAGTCATACACAGAGGGGCCAGAAAAAGCATGTTGTACCTTTTTTAGTAGTGGAAGGGAGTAACACATGATGCTGTTTTACAAAATCATTGTTTTACAATAATCTAGAAAGCCACTTCTTCATTCATCAGTAGGGCCTTTCTGTTGGATTCTGTATGAAGATCAGTGTTTCTGAAATCCCAACCAATTATTTTACTCTTTTCAAGTTTCAACAGTGTTTTTAATGCCTATAGACCTAGGTTCTTGGTGTTCATAGCAAAGAAAGGGTGGGGGGTGGCAGGTTACATATAAGATGAAGTTATTTGCAACTTTTGGTATTCTATCTATTTATCCATCTGTCTATGTATCTATGATCAGGTCACTGAATAAGAGGCAGAAGAAAATCAGAGATTTTGTGAAGGATTTGACTGGCTTTTTTAAATAAAAACTTTGTGCTTGAGGTGTTATGATATATGATATAAATGTGACAAGAGATTTGTAAACAGATCTGGTGTCAATTTTATGAGCTAACATGAAATACCATGAATTTGAGATAGAGCAAAGGGAATTGTGCCAACATTACTCATTATCATAGTTCATAATCCACTTACATTTGTAAAAATATAAGAATTTTCAATGAAAATAATGCTTCAAATATTTTGTAGTAATCAAATCCCATTATGTTTATGGAAGTGATATGTAAATTATAAAGTCATTTATGCATTTTGGTTGTTATTAAGCCTATAATATGGTAAGGAGGCAGTGGTTTGACCAGCTGACTATTTGTCTCACCTAGGGAGGGGTAACAACATACTGACTTGGGGCCAGCCTCCAAATTTAGATGGGAATGGCTTGGGATGCAGCTGGACATCAGATCTCTAGGTAATTCTAATGTGCATTTAGGATGAGAAGCCTATTTTGAGTATGCAATATGTCTAAGTAATTTACCTATATTATTTCTAATCCTTTTAATGACTAGGAGTAATTATTAATATCATGAGGGACTTGAAAATCGAGAAGTTAAAAATAAATTCCAAGTTTGTAAATGGTTAAATACGAAACCAGGATTTGATCCCAAGTATATTTGCCTTCATACATAGCCCTGGCGTTTTGACTATATCATACAACATATGTGATAATAAAACAATGTACATAAGAGAACTTATGTTTTCTGGATGAAAATAAATATAAAAGATTTCTAAAGGCAGGCCTTTGTTAAACATTTTAGGATGGTGTGAAATGCTCAATAATTATGGAAAGTCATTTGTAAAAATCTATAAAAAGATTATCTTATAATAACAATAATTGCATGCTTCCCTTATGATGATCCACTCCCAGGCACTGCATTTGTGCTATTTCATTTACTTGTCACAGCAACTTTAAGAGACAGATGCTACTATTATTATTTTGCAAAATGAAAATATTTTACAAAAAATGCTTGGAGGGTTACCCAACTACCTGAAGAATACAGACAATCAATGGTAGAACTTGATTCAAACCCATCAGTTGGAGTCTGACCCTATTCTTTTTTAAAGAAGTATTTTGTATTTATGGACCTGTCCTAAGGAAGTAATACTGAATAAAAAATAAGCTATGTGCATAAACATACTTACTGCAATTTCTTTCTTAATGGTAAAAAAGTGGAAAAAAACATTTAACAACAGTGCAATAGTCAAGTAAATTATGGTAGATAATTGCTGTGGAATATTATGTACCTATTGTGAACAATGTTTACAACAATTAAAAATATAAACAAGTGTGGCCAGGCACGGTGGCTCACACCTGTAATCCCAGCACTTTGGGAGGCCGAGGCAGATGGATCAGGGGGTCAGGAGATTGAGACCATCCTGACTAACACAGTGAAACCCCGTCTCTACTAAAAATACAAAATATAAGCCAGATGTGGTGGCGGGCGCCTGTAGTCCCAGCTACTGGGGAGGCAGAGGCAGGAGAATGGCGTGGACCCGCGAGGCGGAGCTTGCAGTGAGCCGAGATAGCGCCACTGCACTCCAGCCTGGGCTACAGAGCCAGACTTCATCTCAAAAAAAAAAAATTATATATATATGTGTGTGTATATATACACGTATATATATGTATATATACATATATACGTATGTATGTATTTTTTTACATATATACACGTGTATATATGTATATATGTATATATACATATATACATATATACGTATATACGTGTGTATATACGTATATATACACATGTGTATATATGTATATATACTATATACATATATATATATACGCGCACACACACACACACAAATGTTTATTAGGTCACCTCTAGTTCTGCATAGTATGTAGGAAACTATTAAAATAGTGTCTTCTTCACTTGCAACAAGAAAAATCTAGATAATTGGTGGAATCATAACTTTTTTTGAGCCCATCAGAGAGCTGAGGCTAGTAAACCTGAATCATGTTTAAAGATTCCAAAGATGGACAAACCCCTCTTAGGAGAGACAAGACATGCAATATGTCTGACCTTTGACAAAGCATGGGAGAGAGTGTTGGCTGCCTTACTAATCACTAAGAAGATACTGACCAACCTTTTAATGGATTTTAAAAGGCCAAATGGGTGCTGATTTGTTCTGGAGCCCCAAAAGAAGGGTAGTTCAAACTCACTTGAAAGCATTTCTTTATGTGTATATACTATGTTCTCATTTAGTACAATGTATGCAATGCATGATACTGGTAAAAGCTTACTAATTTGGGTTTTGCTGTAATTGGATTGATGGGTGATAAGAGAAGGGAATCTGTTTAAATGAATTAGGCATACATTTTACCTATCATTAACATTATTGTCTATTATATTATGTGAATTATAGAATTTTTTTGATTTTGGCATTAGCTGTTAATAGATATTATGCCAACTTCAGGTAGCGGAATTAGGGTACCTGCCTTGTCAAAGAAAGAATATTGACTATTGTTTAAACTATTTTTTTCTAAATTCACCTGGAATAGAATTTGAGATTCCATAAATACCTGTAAATATGTACATTCTAGGTTCCCTGATTTCATATTTTGTAATAAATTTTTTCAGTTCACAAGGAAAACAGTCATACAGTAAGTGAAATGATTGTTTACTATTTTAATTGCAACATGCAAGTTGTGATTTGGCTCCATAACCAGCTAATTATCCATTGAATTAATTCTGGAACTCCTTAGTGAATTTCAAAGAACTGCCGTATCATTTTTCAAATATGTCACTTCTTTAGTGGTGAGTGAAATCATTTTACATAACATTTAGCACTAAAGCCTTTCTTTCAGGAAGGCTAAAATGAGCCCCTCCCCCCTTCCCTGGTTTTATTACATTTATATGATACAAAGGAGAGGTGTATATACAGAAATAGATCCCCCAAAAGGAAAATCTCTCTCTTTTTCTCTCTTTCCCTGGTTCTTTCTCTCTGGTTCTCTCTCGCTCTCTCTCTCTCTCTCTCTCACACACACACACACACACACATATGCTCACACACTATTGTATCAGCATTTTTTTTGAACTAAAGCTTCCTTAACACAAATTTCAAACAATAGCTTTTTTCTGCCATCCATATTCAATATTTAGAGATGGTGAGATGTAGCAAAATCCAATGACAGTAAGTTTAGTTCTTCACACTCATTGCATCAGGGAGACAGGTTTGAATTAATTTTGACTGGTATGAAATAAATCTTCAGAATAAAATGGAATTGACTGTGCCTGTGTTTTCACAAGTCTTTTTAGGATGAAATTTGACATTTTTCCCTCTCCTGGGGGTGGCAGTTTACTTACTGCTGGTTATTATTGCTGTTTAATGAAACTTAGAGTTTTCAAATAGAGAAACTAATTACTATTATTATTTCAAGAGATTTTCATTTTCCCCTCCATTTCCCTCCCCCCTCCACACTCCATCCCTTATGTGCAATGTGGGAGAATAGAGTTACATTCATTTGCATTGAATAGCAGGCTCTGGCCATAAGGTATTTCATAAAGTACAAAGTAATTGAAAAGAGTGTTAAGTTTACAGTTTCTCAGGAACCTAGGACCCCTTTCTAACCTAAAAACTAGGATCAAGCTCAGAGAAATATATCAATGACATGAGTCTTCCCTTCTGGGTTCTCAGATGACTCTTTAACTAGCAGAAACTAAATACATCCTGTGTTTCTTTGAGCTGACAATTTAAATTCTAATTCTGGCTACTCATCTTTGAAGAAACAGGAGGCACCCAGCTAGATCCCTGCACATAATTGGACCTAAGTCAGTTTCTGCCTGTAATTATGTCCCTGAAGTCAGATGGTTTAAACCTGAGCAGGGCCATGTTTTTGGCTTCTTTGCTGGATGCTTTTATTTTTGGAATAAAAAATGTTGTCAAATTTCTGGGAGATATATATATATATATATATATAATATATATATATATATATAATGTTATATATACTATATATGTTATATATAATGTTATATATACTATATATCATGTTATATATACTATATATCATGTTATATATACTATATATCATGTTATATATAGTATATATAACAAATATATTTAAAACATAAATATAATTAATATTTAAAACTTGGCTGTTAAACCGTAATAATTGGTAAATTGGAATCAGACATAAGAGATGTGATGATAAACATAGAAAAATATAAGTTAAACCAATAAAAACCATTCCTACTATTGGAAACAAGCTATTATTGGAAAAAAATGACCACAGGACTTAATTAGTATCTACATTATATAGACTAGAAAACCATGCTGAAAATATATACTTGGAACAGTAGGCTGAAGACTTTTGATGTGAGCTGGAGAGTACTCAAGCCTAGCAATTAATTTTGTTAATATTAAGTTACACTGTTAAACATGGGTAGCCATTCCCCACCAGCAGAGATGCCACACGCCTGCTTTAATTTATTCTTACAGTCTTAGAGAAGAATTTTGATGAAGCCCCAGGATAACCTTTTCTCCATGTCACTTGGAAAATTCCACAAATGGGAATAAATCATATAATAAAATAAGGGAAAGTGTGTCAAGCTGGGGAGATGAAGGGAGGGAGGCAAGACAGGTAATGAGCAGCATACAGTTTAGGGGACAGAGGAAAAGAGAGAGAAAGAGAGAATGAAGGTGGCATATTGTCTTAAAATTCTAGCAAGATGGATTGGCATGTTTTCCTCTTAGTTTTTGTTCTAGTCATTGCCCTTACTTTAACAACCACTGAGTACTCATTAAGACATGTTTTCCACTCTGTGGAGTTCAGATATACTTCTTTAATTTTAGTTTAAGAAAATCTAAGAATCTAATCTCTTCTAAATAATGGGGACTAGGAGTATTTCTTTTTAGCTTTTTTTTTTTTTTTTTTTTTTTTTTGAGACAGAATCTCCCTTTGTCGCCCAGGCTGGAGTGCAGTGGCGTGATCTCCGCTCACTGCAAGCCCCGCCTCCTGGGTTCACGCCATTCTCCTGCCTCAGCCTCCCGAGTAGCTGGGACTACAGGCGCCCGCCACCACGCCCAGCTAATTGTTTGTATTTTTAGTAGAGACAGGGTTTCACCATGTTAGCCAGGATGGTCTCGATCTCCTGACCTCGTGATCCACCCGCCTCGGCCTCCCAAAGTTCTGGAATTACAGGCATGAGCCACCGCGCCTGGCAACTGTGAGTATTTCAACTCCAATACACATTATGTCACAGCCTATCTCAATATATGGTCAGTGCACTAACCTGAAGGGAAATAACATGACTTAATTTCTGCTTATTCTGAGAGTTTTCTAGATCGGTGGTCTTACAGCCCTATTTTTATTCACATTATGGATATCTATATCTATATCTGTATCTATATCTATACCATCTATATCTCTATAAACCAGGGGCAGGGCCATGTTTTTGGCTTCATAACCAGCTAATTATCCATTGAATTAATTCTGGAAATCCTTAGTGTGTGTGTGAGTGTGTGTGTGTGTGTGTGTGTGTGTATGGGTGTGTGTGTGTATGTTTTCTTTTTTCACATCAACTTTTAAGTTCCAGGGTACATGTGCAGGATGTGCACGTTTATTACATAGGTAAACGTGTGCCACAGTTATTTACTGCACAGACCAACCCATCACCCAGGTATTAAGCCCCACACCCATTAGCTGTTCTTCCCGGTATTCTCCCTCCCCCTGCTCCCCACAACAGGCCCCAGTGTGTGTTGTTCTGCCCCATGTGTCCATGTATTCTCATCGTTCATCTCCCACTACAGTCTTATTTTTATCTTTAAAAAAATCTTAAATAAAGGGCATTCATTTAGGAAAAGAGGAAGTCAAATTGTCCCTGTTTGCAGATGACATGATTGTATATCTAGAAAACCCCATTGTCTCAGCCCAAAATCTCCTTAAACTGATAAGCAACTTCAGCAAAGTCTCAGGATACAAAATCAATGTGCAAAAATCACAAGCATTCTTCTACACCAATAACAGACAAACAGAAAGCCAAATCATGAGTGAACTCCCATTGACAATTGCTTCAAAGAGAATAAAACAGCTAGGAATCCAACTTACAAGGGATGTGAAGGACCTCTTCAAGGAGAACTACAAACCACTGCTCAATGAAATAAAAGAGGATACAAACAAATGGAAGAACATTCCATACTCATGGGTAGGAAGAATCACTATCGTGAAAATGGCCATACTGCTGAAGGTAATTTATAGATTTAATGCCATCCCTATCAAGCTACCAATGACTTTCTTCACAGAATTGGCAAAAACTACTTTAAAGTTCATATGGAACCAACAAAGAGCCCGCATTGCCAAGTCAATCCTAAGCCAAAAGAACAAAGCTGGAGGCATCACGCTACCTGACTTCAAACTATACTACAAGGCTACAGTAACCAAAACAGCATGGTACTGGTACCAAAACAGAGATATAGATCAATGGAACAGAACAGAGCCCTCAGAAATAATGCCCCATATCTACAACTATCTGATCTTTGACAAATCTGACAAAAACAAGCAATGGGGAAAGGATTTTCTATTTAATAAATGGTGCTGGGAAAACTGGCTAGCCATATGTGGAAAGCTGAAACTGGATCCCTTCCTTACACCTTATACAAAAATTGATTCAAGATGGTTTCAAGACTTACATGTTAGACCTAAAACCATAGAAACCCTAGAAGAAAACCTAGGCAATACCATTCAGGACATAGGCATGGGCAAGGACTTCATGTCTAAAACACCAAAAGCAATGGCAACAAAAGCCAAAATTGACAAATGGGATCTAATTAAACTAAAGAGCTTCTGCACAGCAAAATAAACCACCATCAGAGTGAACAGGCAACATACAGAATGGGAGAAAATTTTTGCAACCTACTCATCTGACAAAGGGCTAATATTCAGAATCTACAATGAGCTCACTCAAACAAATTTACAAGAAAAAAACAAACAACCCCATCAAAAAGTGGGTGAAGGATATGAACAGACACTTCTCAAAAGAAGACATTTATGCAGCCAAAAAACACATGAAAAAATGCTCATCATCACTGGCCATCAGAGAAATGCAAATCAAAACCACAATGAGATACCATCTCACACCAGTTAGAATGGCGATCATTAAAAAGTCAGGAAACAACAGGTGATGCAGAGGATGTGGAGAAATAGGAACACTCTTACACTGTTGGTGGGACTGTAAACTAGTTGAATCATTGTGGAAGTCAGTGTGGTGATTCCTCAGGGATCTAGAACTAGAAATGCCATTTGACCCAGCCATCCCATTACTGGGTATATACCAAAGGACTATAAATCATGCTGCTATAAAGACACATGCACATGTATGTTTCTTGCGGCATTATTCACTACAGCAAAGACTTGGAACCAACCCAAATGTCCAACAACGATAGGCTGGATTAAGAAAATGTGGCATATATACACCATGGAATACTATGCAGCCATAAAAAATGATGAGTTCATGTCCTCTGTAGGGACATGGATGAAGCTGGAAACCATCATCCTCAGCAAACTATTGCAAGGACAAAAAACCAAACACCACATGTTCTCACTCATAGGCGGGAATTGAACAATGAGAACACATGGACACAGGAAGGGAAACATCACACACCGGGGACTGTTGTGGGGTGGGGGGAGGGGGGAGGGATAGCATTAGGAGATATACCTAATGCTAAATGACGAGTTAATTGGTGCAGCACACCAACATGGCCCATGTATACATATGTAACAAACCTGCACATTGTGCAAATGTACCCTAAAACTTAAAGTATTAAAAAAAAAAATCTTATCCAAGGGGCCGGGCATGCTGGCTCATGCCTGTAAACCCAGCAACTGGGGAGGCCGAGGCAGGCAAATCACTTGAGCTCAGAAGTTTGAGACCAGCCTGGGCAATATGTCAAAACCCCATCTCTGGAAAAAAAAAAAAAAAGAAAACTTTCCAAGGGCATTCTGGTTACCTCTAAAAATACTGAATCTCTTCTGCATCCTATTATTTCTCCTCAAAAAGAAATATAAGATAAATCATTGTTGTCATATTCTAAATTAAGCAATGGATATCAATAACCACTTAGCCTGTTTTGACTTATTACCTATTTATGTTTTTAGCCACACAATCTAAGCCATATTAAGTCTAAGTCATGTAAAGTCTTTCCATTTGAAACACAAAATTTATGAGACACTACTCTTGATGTTTCATATTTTTACATGAGTAACTTTACATGAATAAGGAAAATGTCTTTTTCAACAACGTGAATTTTAGATAAGACTTTGCACTGAATGTGTTTATATTGAACTTTGAGGTAAACAAGAAGGATTAAAGTTTTCTGGAAGGCAGAATATATCAGACACTGAATCATCAACAGTTTGGACTGATAACTGTAAAGGTCCAACATAAGAAATGAAATAAAGCTTGTGAGCCAAAATTTTTCTTGGAATTTAACCATTTATTAAAGATATTAACCATTTGCCAAAGTATACAAAAATATTAGTGTGGCAAATGTGTGTAGTTAGGTTTTCAAACTAGACTATATTATCCATCAAAACTCAGACCCAAAGTAATTGTTTTACTTCCTTATTTTCCAGATTTACTCTAAAAAAAAATGGTTTTAATAAAAGTTTTGTCACTTGTATAGTGGTACAAGTTGGTGAAACAGTATTTGGAAAGCTTTTCAAATTTAATAAATGGAAAAAAAGAGAGGGAAGTTGTGATATAAATCTAAACAAAATGGTTTTGAAGAGGCTGGAAAAATAAATCCAATACAGGTGAAATTAGTTGTTCTGAAATCTGCTAACAAATGAACTGTACTTGAGGCTTTGACCTTTGGACTGACCCTGTGGCCAAACCATAAGCCATTTTTATATTGTGCCCCCATTTGGATCAGTACTATCTCATAAAAACAAGTATATTATTCTTCTGTGGGTACCTTGGATGCAGGGCTGGCATAAATCAAATTTCCTGTGGTTTCTGATCCTCTTTTCAAATCAAATTCTTAGGTGATAAAATATAAAATGACCTCTTTGTCCATTTGAGCTGGGCTGGAGAGAAACTTGACATTCTCTTGTCTGCACAGATCCTAAGCTATACCATCCAGGTGGCACGGCACTGGAGGAGAGCCTTGTTGCAGCTAAAACCTCACATACCAGAAGATATTTACTTTTGTTTTATAAAATTTGCAGTTGGAATAATTATGGCTCAGGATATGTAATAATTTCCTACCTCTCATTGGCTGGAAGGTTACTTAGGCCATGATAAGCCTTCCACATTTCAGAGAAGGAAGAAACTCTAAACACTGAAAATATCTGATAGTCATTCTGCAAGAGGTGCATTATACAAAGCAATGCATAATATGTTTATATCTATGGTAATACACAAGGTTCCTTTTAATGTATTTGAGATTTTTCAAGAGTGCCAGGCCATCCCATTTAGGACAGCCAACATCAGCATTGTCCTTGCCTGAATGGATCATTCAAGTCTGCAGAAGTTTTGTTTTATTGTCTCTTCATACATGTCTGTAGTGGATACTCTGGGTATAACCCAACTCTCATTTCAAGGAAAGACTTGGTGTCCCAGTTGCTGGGAGTGCTGACAGTAGACAGCTTTCAGATGTCAGCACTTCAGGGAATTGTCTCAGCTTCAGAAAGCCACTTTCCGCGAGGTTATGTCCTTCCTGGGATGGCTCACGTGCAGTCTAGACAACTCTGGATGGCCATTCTAACTCAAGAACTGCCCAGGCTGACACTGATATTGGGACTGCAGGTAGCTTCACTTCCTACTCTGCCCAATCCTGCTTTCTTCCCTTCCCTTCCACAAGTGTTAGTGGATGCTCAACTGTGTGCTCAACTGTTTTCAAATCTGCTTGCTCAAAAAAAACCCCAACCTATGGCAGTATCTTGCCATAGTTTTTATTCACTTCAAGGCCCTTGGGCAAAGATGAACTTTGACAAGAAAATTATTACAACTTCTGGATGGGATATCAACCTGAGCATACCTGTCTAAGTACTTCTACCCAGTGCCTTAAGATGATTCAAATAATGTCCAGTAAGATATAAAACTAAGAGAAAACACTCATCATAGGTAGATTCTAGAGATAAGTGACAAGTACATATTATTAGCTTAATATAGAATAATAGAAATGTAATCATGATCCAGAAATGCAGGGCAGATTCAGTATTAGAAAATGAAACACTACTAATATCCAGAGTAACATATCAAAAGAGAAATATGATATGATTATATTACAGATGCAGAAAAGCATTAAACATAATTTTACATTGATTTTTAATTTAAACAATCATAAATGAGAAACAGAAACAAAGTTTCTTAATTTGATAAAATATATTTACTAGGATCCTAAAGAAAACATCTGACATAATTGTAGAGCATTTAACTTATTAAAGTTAGAAGCAAGTCAATTGTATTAGTTTTCTATTGCTGCATAACAAATTATTACAAACTTAATAGCTTAAAACAGTATTTGTTAACTCACAGTTCTATGACCAAATACATTGGATTGAAGATTTACATCTAAAAAAAACCTCATTCTTGTCCATCAGAAATAACCAAGTTATACTATAGTAGATGGAAAATATACAATAATTAAAAAATATTAACTGGGAAATAACTAGAACAAAATGTTATTTATGAACATAAATATCTGTATGATTTGGGACATATTATTTTTAATGAGAAGAACATTCAATATTGAAAAGATAATTAGCTACAAATTATTTACATATTTATGAAAGAAGAAGGAAATCTTCAGTTATTTATGGAACATGAATCAATAATTTTAAAATTTATATAGAGAATTTAAGTTCAAACATTATGAAAGAATGGACCCAAACCAACAGACTTCTCTTCTTTTCTGGGAAGAATATAGTATAAACCATATCTTTAAAAAATTAAATACATTGCTGAGCTAGAAAGAAAAAAAATGAAAATTTTCAGGTGCCAGTAATAAAGCTTAAGTACAACCAGATGCTGCTGCAACCCAATGGGATGTTTATCCTAGCTATAACCATTAATGCCTGTAGAAAAGGTTAACATACAACTATAAGTAATAATTTTCTACATATATTGCAGACAATTAAAATTATAATTTCAGTATAAACCTACTTTAAATAGCAAAAAACCACCAAAGAGAGTATTTTTAAATATATATATATCTACAAAGCTTTTATGGGAAAAATTAAACAACTTTTTGAAGGTCATAAAAATGAACTAAAGATGAATAAATATCCTATGGTGAGGAATACTGATATCATAAATACCTTTTTAATGTCATTACAAAACTCAAACTGATGCAATGCTAATAGGCAGAATTATAAGGATTAAGTAGCCAAAAAAAATTTTAAGACAAAAAAAAAATAAGAGCACAGAAAAATTTGCTGAACAGAACTTCAAGGCTTGCTATAAAGTTTATGCTAAATAAAATAACAGTTTTGGCACAAAAATAGAGAAAGCAATGGAACAGAAAAGAATATCTAAAATTATATAGACAAAAACTTCAAGATGAAAATAATATACATTATTCATCTGAAGAATGTTTAGTTATTTGGATATGCATGTGAAAGATGATAGAACAGATTCATCATATAATATATGTACAGTAACCAACCAAAAAAAGAAAACACAGCTAAACATTTAGAATGATAATAGCTAACATAGCATGCTGAATGTTGTACTAACTCTTCCATTTTGTTAACACGTGTAAACCTCAGAACAATTCTGTGAGGTAAGTATTATTAATATCGTCATTTCTATCTTTTTTGTCATTACAGACAAAGGCACTGAAACACCAAGTTGACTAACTTACCTGATTCTTCAAAAGCAATGAGGTGATTTTGAAAGAAACAGACTGGCTCCAGAACCTATGTGCTTAATCACTGTATACACAGAACTATCCCCACTAGTGTATTCTCCCAGTAGACATAGCAGAATACATTTGTGACATCATAATAAGAAAAGGTTCCTTAGGAAAGGCACTAACACTTGAAACAATGAGGGAAAATATAGATATGTATCAAAAATTTAAACAACTATGTAACAAAAGACTACAGATTCAAGTGAATGAGAAGCCTCAGACTTTTAAGTATGACCTTTTATCAAGTAAAATGACAAGTTTATGAAGAACTCCCACAATGAAAAAAAGATGACGCTTACAAAGAAAAAATAAGTAGATAATTTTAAAGGGAGGAAAAAAGAGTCCTTGATAGATGTATGAGTATTACAGCACCACAAAGGGAATTACAAATCAACCGTTAATGAGATACAATTTTATACTCATCAAATTATCTAAAAAATGTATAAACTAATAAAACTAAGTATATAGCCAAGGAGATGGGGAAATAGATCATTGCATATTACAGGCAGTTGAAAACAAACATTGGAGTCTATTCTGGAGAGCAATTCTACATTAGCTAGTAATGCTTAAATATGCATACCTGATTATCTAATAATTCTGTTCCTTGGAATAGACCTGTACTCTCTAAATATGGTAGACACCAGCCACATGTAGCTATTTAAATTATGTTTATTTAAAATTTATAAAATTTGGTGTTTTAGACATGAAGTCCTTGCCCATGCCTATGTCCTGAATGGTATTCCTAGGTTTTCTTCTAGGGTTTTTATGGTTTTAGGTCTAACATTTAAGTCTTTAATCCATCTTGAATTAATTTTTGTATAAGGTGTAAGGAAGGGATCCAGTTTCAGCTTTCTACACATGGCTAGCCAGTTTTCCCAGTACCATTTATTAAATAGGGATTCCTTTCCCCATTCTTGTTTTTGTCAGGTTTGTCAAAGATCAGATGGTTGTAGATGTGTGGTATTATTTCTGAGGGCTCTGTTCTGTTCCATTGGTCTATATCTCTGTTTTGGTACCAGTACCATGCTTTTTTTGGTTACTGTAGCCTTGTAGTATAGTTTGAAGTCAGGTAGCATGATGCCTCCAGCTTTGTTCTTTTGGCTTAGGATTGTCTTGGCAATGTGGGCTCTTTTTTGGTTCCATATGAACTTTAAAGTAGTTTTTTTCCAATTCTGTGAAGAAAGACTTTGGTAGCTTGATGGGGATGGCATTGAATCTACAAATTACCTTTGGCGGTATGGCCATTTTCACAATATTGATTCTTCCTACCCATGAGCATGGAATGTTCTTCCATTTGTTTGTGTCCTCTTTTATTTCATTGAGCAGTGGTTTATAGTTCTCCCTGAAGAGGTCCTTCACATCCCTTGTAAGTTGGATTCGTAGGTATTTTATTCTCTTTGAAGCAGTTGTGAATGGGAGTTCACTCATGATTTGGCTGTTTGTCTGTTATTAGTGTATAAGAATGCTTGTGATTTTTGCACATTGATTTTGTATCGTGAGACTCTGCTGAAGTTGCTTATCAGCTTAAGGAGATTTTGGGCTGAGACGATGGGGTTTTCTAGATATACAATCATGTCATCTGCAAACAGGGACAATTTGACTTCCTCTTTTCCTAATTGAATAAAAGCCAAAATTGACAAATGGGATCTAATTAAACTAAAGAGCTTCTGCACAGCGAAAGAAACCTGCTTCATCAGAGTGAACAGGCAACCTACAGAATGGGAGAAAATTTTTGCAATCTACTCATCTGACAAAGGGCTAATATCCAGAAACTATAAAGAACTCAAACAAATTTACAAGAAAAAAACAAACAACCCCATCAAAAAGTGGGCGAAGGATATGAACAGACACTTCTCAAAAGGAGACATTTATGCAGCCAAAAGACACATGAAAAAATGCTCATCATCACTGGCCATCAGAGAAATGCAAATCAAAACCACAATGAGATACCATCTCACACCAGTTAGAATGGCGATCATTAAAAAGTCAGGAAACAACAGGTGCTGGGGAGGATGTGGAGAAATAGGAACACTTTTACAGTGTTGGTGGGACTGTAAACTGGTTTAACCATTGTGGAAGACAGTGTGGCAATTCCTCAAGGATCTAGAACTAGAAATACCATTTGACCCAGCCATCCCATTACTGGGTATATACCCAAAGGATTATAAATCATGCTGCTATAAAGACACTTGCACACATTATGTTTATTGCAGCACTATTCACAATAGCAAAGACTTGGAACCAACCCAAATGTCCAACAATGATAGACGGGATCAAGAAAATGTGGCACATATACACCATGGAATACTATACAGCCATAAAAAATGATGAGTTCATGTCCTTTGTAGGAACATGGATGAAGCTGGAAACCATCATTCTCAGCAAACTGTCGCAAGGACAAAAAACCAAACACCCCATGTTCTCACTCATAGGTGGGAATTGAACAATGAGAACACCTGGACACAGGAGGGGAACATCACACACCCGGGCCTGTCGTGGGGTGGGGGGAGGGGGGAGGGATAACTTTAGGAGATATACCTAATGTTAAATGATGAGTTAATGGGTGCAGCACACCAACATGGCACATGTATACATATGTAACAACCTGCATGTTGTGCACATGTAACCTAGAACTTAGAGTATAATGAAAAATAATAATAAAATTAAAAATGTAGTTATTCAGTCTCACTACCCATATTTCTTTTTTTTTTTTTTTTTTTTTTTTTTTTGAGACGGAGTCTTGCTCTGTCGCCCAGGCTGGAGTGCAGTGGCGGGATCTCGGCTCACTGCAAGCTCCGCCTCCCGGGTTCACGCCATTCTCCTGCCTCAGCCTCCCAAGTAGCTGGGACTACAGGCGCCCGCCACTACGCCCGGCTAATTTTTTGTATTTTTAGTAGAGACGGGGTTTCACCGTTTTAGCCGGGATGGTCTCGATCTCCTGACCTCGTGATCCGCCCGCCTCGGCCTCCCAAAGTGCTGGGATTACAGGCGTGAGCCACCGCGCCCGGCCTCACTACCCATATTTCAAGAGCTCAGGAAGCCACCTGTGCCTAATGGAAACCATATTGAACAGCACAGATCATAGAACAGTCCCATTATCACAGAAAATTCCTATTAGACTGGTATGGACCTTGAAGAAACTCTAATACATGTGTTTCAGAAAATTAATAAAATGTTGCATATTGTGGCTCTGGTTGTGATTACCAAAACAAACAAATAAATAACACAAAACAAAAAACAAGAAAGGAAAGAAAGGAAATTATCTAACTGTTTATCATATATAATAGATAAATTAAGATGTATTTATAATAGCGTATATGTTAAAATCAATTAATTAGATCTGTATATGAACATAAATAAATCTTGAAAAGTATCATTTTTGAAAACAGAGTTATTTGCACACTATGATACTGTTTAGCAGAATTTTTTAGAAGTAATATTAGCTTTATTGCTTTATGCCTGTGGTTAAAGTGTGAGGTGAATACACAGTAAATTTATAGCAGTGAAATCTCTGGGAATAAGAGGACAAGGGGAGGGTGGAGTGAGGACAGGTTTGTGGTTCTTTGATTTTATTTAAAATGCTTTAATCTTACAAAAATTAACTAATGGCATTATAAGGATTTTTTTTTTAATTTTTGGTGGTGGGACCATTAGTATAACATTAATTATTCTTTGTATTTGTACAAACTTTTAAAATAATAAACATAATATTGATTTTATAATTACAAAGAACCACAATAAAAAGAGGATTTCTGCTTCCTCTTAGGCTGGAGAAGTTTTCAAATGAGAATTTCTCCTCCCCTACTAATGAGAATAAGCCAACTAAAAAAAAAATACTTGTTTTTTCTTCTAAGGTCATCAGAGAGCAGAGTTTGCAAAAAAAAAAAAAAAAGAATGAACTAAATACCAAAAATGACTATCTCTACTCTATAAAAGAATGGACACAGGATGGCTTTCATGCTTGGCTGGTTACCTGAAAGAGAATTAAGTTGCAATAGATAACAAGAAAATGTAGATGATATAATTGTCTGTATAGAATATCCTAAATAATTTACCAAAAAATAATCATAATTACTAGGTGAATTTAGCAGTCTTAAAATACCAAATAAATATAAAAATATATTGTTTTTCTATATAGTAACAATGAATAATTGGGAAATGTAATAAAATTACAATATGAAAATACTTTCTAAAACCATAACGTGATTAGACATTTACCAAATGTCTACTTGTCTACCAAATGTCTCTCTACTTTTATACTGAAAAGTGGGAAACATTGTTGAGAGAAATTACAGAAGACCTAAACAAATACAGATACATATCACACTCATGTATTGGAAGACACAATTAAATCTAACTCCTCAAGTTGGGGTAGAGATTTAGTACAATCCATATCAAAATCCTAGCTTGCTTGTTTTTTGTAAAAATGGACAAGATGGTCTGTAAAACATACAGAAATATAAAAAGACTAGAATAGCCAAAACAATCTTGAAATGGAGGAACTGAGTTCGAGTACTTACTATATCTGAATTTTATTATTACAATAAAGCCACAGGAATGAAGACAGGATATAGGCTCATAATTGTTGGGATGAAAAAGAGACAGAGACAAGGGGGTGGGAGGCATGGCTCCACAGCAACACAGGTTTATTGGAGGAAGATGCTTGCAGAGGGGGACAACAGCGAGTGCCAAAGCCCAAGCCCCACTTATAGACGAGGGCAGTTATAGGTCTGGATGGGTAGGGGAGTGTTGCAAAATGGGACGGGGTGGTGTGGGTAGCTGCTGCTAAGAGAGAAATTTCCCATGGTCAGGCACTTAGTCCTGGGACCTGCCCAACAGGATGTTTCTCATGGCCCAGACCCAGTGGAATTTTTCACTCTGTCCAGGGTGTGTAAAATGGCGGGGTCTACAAGATGGCACAGGTTGGGCTAACATTCCTGTCCTTTACTTTAGTATAAAAGGAAGGGGACATGGCTGCTTCCTGCTGAATAGGGGCATTGTAATCAGGGTTCAGGTTTTAAAGTGGTAGGTGTTTGATTTCAGAGTCGCTTTCCTGGAGGCTCTGACAATGGACTTGGTGGAGGAGGAGGACAGTATCAATACATTTCTGGGTGATTGCCTGGATAAGAGAGTTCAGTCTTTGGGAGATGAAGTGAGATATAACATTAAGTATGCACTGGCCAATTGTTAGTCACAGAAGGAAAAAGATTAGGGGCCCAAAGAAAAGGGCAACCCACATCATCCATTTTAGAAGGGATTACCCTTGCCACTAGAAGTCTCTGACTTGACGTTGGATTTCTGTGGCCCTATCAAGGAGCCTGCGGGCTGCGTCATGAACAATGGCAGATTCATTAACATAAAAGCAGCATTCTTCTTGGAGATATATACATGTGTCCCCTTTCTCAGCGGCTAGTAGGTCTAGGGCTCACCAGTGGATTGCCAATTCCACATGTGGCCTTCAGTCATCCGGTGTCCCCCTCAAGGCAGGCACCTTGGCCAGCTCCCTAATCAAACCAAAAAGCTCTATACCACCACCTGTCTGCAAGTAGTCCTTGAGCTGGAACAGCTGGGTGAGACTGGGTCAAGCAGCATCATCCTGCCCCCATTTTCTGGAATTGCTGCTTTGGGGACAATTGCCTCCACAAAGTTAACAGCACTTCATTGGGTTGCCTATCAATTTTCTCTCTGGCAACCCCAGCCAAAATTAAATCAACCCATATCTGCATGTGGGTAACCTGCTGGCGCCCCTTCTTGTTCCATGAGGTGGTCCCCTGCAGAAGTGGTGCTTTCCCCTTTTTTATGGCACATACCCCCAGTCCTGCCAATGGCCCTCTGCTTCCCTGAGGGCTGCCATGGCAGTAGTCACCTCATGTATGTGACGCCCCACATATGGAGTGAGGACAGCAGCCCCTAATTCACATTCCAAGCTGTGTATCCGGGCCTCCAGGTGTCCTGCTTGTGTCTGGAAATCCCTTACCTGTACTGCATCCCACAGGGACTGAGCATGCACTTCCTGTATCACAGTCAAAAATGCCCATCCAACTCTGCTGGCAAAGGCGTGCTCCTTCTCAGTGCTCTATGCTTCCAGGTGCTTCAGTGCCTTCTCTATACTCACAGGGGACCCATCCACCACCACCCATGTTTTCACCAGAGCCCATCCTAGCAGCATGGCTCTGTATCCTGATGACTACATCAATTGTCAGGTTCCAATCCGAGCTGGGGCCTGAGAGGAGCTGGTGGACAGGTGGCAGGTAGCTGAAAGTACACTCGAGGGACTGTAGGCAGTTGGGACATGGCTTTATTCTGTCTCTCTCCTACAGAGTCAGCAGTGCAGTTATATTTCTCACAGACAAAAGAGACTCAAAGCCAGATATGAGCTCACACAAACAGGTTACATTAAATGGCTACATAAATCTGATTACATAGAGCAGGGGTTTATGCACCTGCACTCGAAACCTGCTGTGTCATGCTGTACCAGATATCTGCCTCAGCCTACTCCTGACTGAAGCACAACCATTTTCCTTATACCCTCTTGGACATTTTTCTTATTCTCCCATATTGAAAAGTTACCTTCAAGGACAGCTCTGGTGAGTGACTGATAAAGTATGTTAGTGGGGGAAGGAGTGAAGGAAGTGTGATTTTGTAAAAAGGAAATAATGGGTTTTGTCCATTAACAGCCATTGTGAGTTGGAAGAAGGGCTAGGCAGGAGGAAGCATGAGAGAGAGGAGTTATTGCATTCCCTCCAGTGGATTTCCTCAACCTGAGTACATGTGAGTCTCGCCTACAGAGAGAGGTGGGGAGGAGATGGAAGAAGTGGGTGCCAAGATGGAAGGGGGGGTTGCAGAAAATCGCAGTGGATTTTTGAAGGCTGAGGAAGATCCTGTTCAGTGATTTATTTGGTGATTTTGATGATCCTGACATGGGTTGAAAGTGAGGGTAAAGTTGTACAGGGATGGAGGTAGACTGCCCACCAGAGTCCCATGGTTGGGGTTGGAGAAAGATCTGCAAAAGCAGAGGGGGACCTGAACTGTGAGTGATGTCTGGGTGGAAATGAAACTTCCAGTGGGTGGTCTGAGGGAATTTGCCTGTATTAGGGATAGACCAGGAGTAAGGAGTCATAGGAGGGTAACGGCCCTGAGTTTAGAGTTTTGAAAAGAAAAAAATGTCTGTGGGGGGAAGGTGTTTAGATGGCCGAGGGTATAAAAAGTTTCAGAAAATGGAACAGCCTTATATATGAGGTGCAGGGTCATGCTAGACTGAGTCCAGGTGTGTAAGTCTGTGGGGATGGCAGGAAAACTGTTGGGTTTGTGTGGATAAGCATATTCAGCAACTAGAGGAGAGGGGAGACTGGGCTTGGCTGAGGAGGTAGTGCATTAGGTTGGCAAAGGGTGCTCAACTGTCAAAGGTTGTGGGTGGGGACTTAGAGCATCTCACAAACAAAGAAGACAAAGGGAGCAAAGGGAGATTTGAGTAGGAGTGAAATTTTGGAAGGTGATTTGCAACCATAGCTTCTGGATTAGTGTGAGAAATTGAAGTGGACTGTTTCAGGACATGGGAAAGGGGTACCAGGAAAGATCTGAAACAAGTTATCAAATGAAAGATTTAAAATTGGAGATGGAAAGTGTTATGGGCCAGGGCCTTTAGGGCTGACAACCTCTGGAATTCTTGTTAAGTGCAGTGATTTGAGGGAGGAAGAATATCTTTGGGTTAAGGAAATTTTTGGATGTGGGTCTGGTGCTCTTTTTAGTTTGGAATGGTGTATCCATTGTGGAAAAGATGCTAGATTTGCCACCATGGAAATACCTAGGATAACTTGGTGAGGACCCATTTACTTAGTTTGGAGAAGGGAGGAGGAGTCTGCAATCCAGACTCAGTCCCCTGGTTGCAGGGAGGGGGAGGAGTATTCAGAGGATCAGCCTTCAGGCTTGGGCAAGTAAGTGTTAGCGTAGTGTTTTATTAGATGTTTAATGAAGTGTAATGCTGGCCAAGTATCCCATATAGACAGAAGGGGAATAGAGAGAGATTCTGGAGGATAAAGGGGTGTCTGTACATGAGTTCAAATGGGCTTAGGCTGAGGGGCTTGCAGGGAATGGCTTGTAAATACATGAGGGCCAATGGGAGAAGTGAAGTCCAGGCCATCTTAACCTCTAGGGAGAGTTTGGTCAGTTGCTGCTTTAAAAGGGCATTGGCCGGTGCAACTTTACCTGAAGATTGGAGGTGGTAGGGGATATGGAAGACTCATTTGATGTTTAGAGCCTCTACCAGCTGTTGGTTAACCTATGAAACAAATGCTGACCTGTTGTCTGGCTGGGTGGAAGAGGGGAGTTCAAACTGGGGAATAATATGAGTGAAGAGAATAGAACTGATAGTGTGTGCCTTTTTGGTGGTAGTAGGAAAACATTTTGTTTATCCAGTGGATGTATTTACTATTGTCAGAAGATACTGGACCAGTTTTACAGGGGGCATGTGGGTGAAGTTGATTTGTCAGTCCTGTTCTGGCAGGTGTACTTGGGCCTGGTGTGTGGGGAAAGGAGGGGCCTCATGGTTCCCTGAGGGGGAAGTTTGAGTGCAAATGGAACAGACCTTAGTAATACCTTTGAGATTGGCAGCCATGGTGGGACAATGTATGTAAGTTTTTAAGAGCTGGAGTAGGGGGCACTAAGTGGCATGGAATGCTCGTGTACATATGAGAGAACAGAGGGTTCCTGGGACTTGGGCAGGAGAATTTTGTTATTGAGATAGAATTCTCCTTCCTGAATGGCGCCAGCCTGGGAGAGTGAGGTTTGTTCCTCCTGGGTATATACAGGGTGTATGCTGGGAAAAAAATGGATAGTAGTCAGGGGATTTTAAGAGCTGCCTGCTAGGCTACGAATCCACCAAGGTGTTCCTCTTAGCAATGGTGTTTGTAGCCCGTTGATGTTCTTTGTAATGGATAATGGCAATCTCTAGTGGTAGTTTAGCTGCCTCCAGCAGCTTACCTATTAGCCTGCCATTTACTATTGGGGTTCCTTTGGTGGTCAGAAAACCTCTTTCCTGCCAGATTAGGACATGGGAATGTAGCATGTAGTATGCATACTTAGAGTCGGTGTATATATTAACCCTCTTTCCTTTTGCTAGGGTGAGAGCCCTGGTTAGGGCAACTAGTTCTACTTGTTGGGAGGTGGTATGGGATGGGAGGAGATTGGACTCCAAGAGTCCATTTTTTTTGTCAGTGATGGTGTAGTCTACTCAGGATGTGGTTCCTTAAAAGCACTTCCATTAATAAGCCATGTAGGTGTCCCAGGTTAGGGGTTTCTTCTACGTGTTGGAAAGGGAAAGAAAGGGAATCTAAAAGGTCCAAGCAAGAGTGAGACAGTTCAGAGTTGGAGGTACTCATAGGAAGGAGGGTGGCCAGGTTGAGAGATTTGCATCTTTGGAAGGCGACTAAAGATTGATTATGAGTAAGGCATGTATTTGCTGTAGGCAGGATGGCAGTAGGGAAAGGAGGGAGTGATGGCTCATGAGTTCCTGTAGGTTATGAGAGGATGCAACAGTAAGGTGTTAGTAGATGTTTAGTTTTTGTGCTTCTGAGGCCAGCAGCATGGCCACATCCAAAATCCTTAAACAGGATGGCCAACCTTGGATGACAGAGTCCGGTTATGTTGAGAGGTATGTAGTGGCTTGCAGGACATTGCCATATGTCTGACAGAGTAGCCCAAGAGCAAGCCCTTGGTTGGAATAAGCATACAGAGTAAAGGGCTTGGTGGGGTTGAGTAGTCCCAGTGCTGGGGCCATTAAAAGAGCATTTTTTCAGTTTTTTTGAAATGGGAGTTAATGGGGCAAGCTGGGTCCAGGGTTTTTAGGATGGACCCACATGATGCCATGTAGAGTGGCTTGGTCAGTAAGCTGAAGATGGGAATTCACAGCTGGACGGATCCCACGAGGCCTAAGAAGGAGAAGAGGTTTTTCTTTGTATGAGGAAGGGACATATCCCAAATTAGCTTTTTGTCAGGTTGGTATGGCCTGAGATTGAGGGGTGTAAACCAAAAATAAAATTCTAAGGCCCCCCAACCATCTAAATGGACTTCCTCTTCAGTCAAGACTCTTAAACTTTAACCTGAAAGACTGGTTCAAGCCATGAAGGGAAGTGGGGTTCAGACATGCCTCATTATACTTCTCTGGCATTAACATCAACACAGACTTTAAGTCTGATAAGAAACATCTTACAGCCTGTTCTCTCTGAAGCCTGCTAGCTAAAAGCTTCATCTGTAAGATAAGACTTTGGTCTCCACAACCTCTTATTGCAACCCAAACATTCCTTTCTACTGATCCCAGGTCTTTAGACAAACTCAACCAATTGTCAACCAGAAAATGTTTAAATATACCTATAGCCTGGAAGCCCCTGCTTTGAGTTGTCCCGCCTTTCTGTACCAAATCAATGTATTTATTAAATGTACTTGATTGATGTCTCATGTCTCCCTAAAATGCATAAAACCAAGCTACACCCCAACCACCTTGGGCACATGTCGTCAGGACTTCCTGAGACTGTGTCAGTGGCATGTGTCCTCAACCTTGGCAAAATAAACTTCCTAAATTAACTGAGACCTGTCTCAGATTTTCTGGATCTACAGGGGTTAGGATGAGTCCAATGTAGGTGACCTGGGTTTAGGCCACCTGAGCTTTTGTAGGTGAGACCTAATATCCATGAGTATGTTGAAAGTTTAGAAGTTGAATGGGTGTTGGATAGATAGATTAAGGGAGGGGCTACAGAGAAGGGTTGGTTATTGATGTATTGGAGGAAGGTTCTAGAAGCATATTTTATGAAAATATGTGACAAATAATTTTTATTCAGAGTACTAAAAACTACTATAAAAGAGGTAATATATAGACCAAGAAGCCACTAAATAAATGGGAAAAATTTAAGTAGATATTTTACAAAAGAAGTTACGTAAATGGTCAATAACCACACGGAAGAGTGCTTAACATCATTAGCAATCAGAGAAAGGCAAATTAAAACTATACTGAGCCACTAAGCACACTTACTAAAATGATTCCAGTTAAAAAGCCTGACATTAGATGTTGGAGAGGATGTGAAACAGCCAGAACTCATACTTTGTTGATGAAAATGTAAAGCAATGCAATTTGGGAAACTCTTAGGCAGTTTCTTAACAGTTTAAACTTACATTTTCTCTTATGACCCAATTCTGTTCCTGAGGATTCATCTCCCAAACATAAAAATGTAAGTTTATAAAACAAAAGCGTTATACACGAATGTTCCTAGCAGCCTCATGCATAATAACCCCCAACTGGAGAAACCACAGCTATCTATCAACCAACAGATATAGTCACACTGTGGCATACTACTCACTAATACAAAGGCATAAAATACTGGTATAAATAGCATCACGAATAAATCTCAAAAACATCAAGCTGTGTAAATTAACCCAGAAAGAAAAGAGCACACACATCCTGTATAAATCTATGCATATGCATTTCTGGAATAAATGGAATTAGTCATAATGGTGGAAATAAATCAGCAGTTGTTTCTATGAAGCTGGAGTTTGGAAGAAAGCACATGAGAAGGAACTTCCTAGGATGATGAGAATATTCTACAACTAGAGAGGGATAGGGATTGCATGGACTCACACATTTGTTGAAACTTCTTGAAATGCCACTTAAGATCCCTGCATTTTACTGTTAGTTAATTCAACCTGCTGAAGCAAAAATGGCTCTGGAGAAAGGTAAAGAGGCAACGAAGAGTTTATTGAACACTATTGTTGAAGGGGAGTGAAACCAGAACTGAGTCTGAACTCAATTCAGCTGAAACCAACAGCAGGATTATTAGTAGCCGAGGTGAAGGAGGATATTTCAGGCCATTTGTGTAAACTTGTATCTTCAGACAGGAAGTAGTTTTACAAATTGGAACACGGCTCCCTCTAGTTAGCTTTCATAGACACTGGAAGATAGGGGCACTATCATTCTTGATAATCACATTTCAAAGGGATGGCTCCCACTTCTTCGAAAAAGACAGTCCTGGATAAGAGGCTAAAAAGCCTCTTAAATTTACATCTCAAAGGGAAGAGAAAGGATTTTCCATTGAAAGTTTTCTAAAGTAAATGCTATAAGGAAAGAGAGGCTGGGTGGGCCTAGCTAGAGAAGGAAGAAGCCTGTCTAAAGCATGGTCCAGCTGAAGACATTAAGTTTGTCCTGGTCATGCTTCAACAAAGAGTCACTTATTTACTAAAAAATAAAATTTTGGACAAGCACAGCAAAAAACAATAGAATACTTTAGGCAAAAGTAAATGCTGCATGTATTTGACTGGAAACAATGAACCTGCCGTTTAATCTTATGGATATCTGCCATTAAAGTTTATCACAGGTCATGACTGGGGTGATCTCAGAAATTTGCTGACTTTTTGGAAGAATAAATTTTGAATATTTACTCAGTGCCTGATGTTGGATATACAGTGAACAGAACAAATGAGTTCCTTGCTCTCAGAGAACTAACATTCAAATGGAGAGAAAGATGGGCCATAAGTAAATCAAATAAATATAACATTCTATTAATATTAGAACAGATAAATATGGCATTCTAGTATCAGACAGTTATGTTCAATTACTGAGAAGAAATAGTGATATACTGGTTACTGACAAAGCTGAGAGTCAGTAGGGGGATCCTTCAAGAGAAAATAAAGTTTGACTTGATACCTGATATGGTTTGGCTGTGTCCCCACCCAAATTTCACCTTGAATTGTAATAATCCCCACAAGTCAAGGGTGAGGCCAGGTGGAGACAACTGAATCATGGGGGAGGCTTCTCCACACTGTTCTCATGGTAGTGAATAAATCTCATGAGATCTGATGGTTTTATAATTGGGAGTTTCCCTGCACAAGCTCTCTTGCCTGCTGCTGTGTAAGAGGTGATTTTGCTCCTCATTTGCCTTCAGCCATAATTGTGGGGCCTCCCCAGCCATGTGGAACTTTGAGTCAACTAAACTTCTTTCCTTTATAAATTACCCAGCCTTGGATATGTCTTTATTAGCAGTGTGGGAACAGACTAATACAATACCTGAATGAAAAATGTAAATTTAGAGCATTTATGCAAAGAAGAAATGTACAAATACTCTGAGGGAAGAAGGAGCTTGGCTTCTGATGGACTAGAAAGAATACTAGTTTGTTTGAAAGTCAGTGAACAAAGCAAAATGTGAGACAAATTAGATCAAGAAAGTGGCAGTGGCCTAGAACATAAACATATATGTTCCAAACAGATCCCTTTAGCTGGCCTTTAGGGAATATGCTTTAACAGGTCAAGAATGAAAACAAGGAGTTCGTTTAGGAGACAAATGTAGTAAATCATACAAACAATGATAAGGGAGGTAGAATAATACAATCCAATAAACTAACTATATGGGAGAGGGAGTGCTGGCAGCATGAAGGTAGTAGAGAAGAAAAGAGTCAAAGCTATCCACTACATTTTTGGGCTGCAAAAGTGTTGATAAAGGTCTCATGAACTGAAAATTTGGTAGGGAATCAAAGAACAGTAGCTCCGGACAGGTAGAATGTATCAAAAATTCTGTCTGAGGCATGTTCAAGTTCGATATGCCCATTACACATCCCAGTAGGTATCCTGAGTAGGAATTACACATAGTTGGAACTCAGGAGAATGTGATTAAAGGCCACAGTAAATGCAATCTAACTTGTTCAGTTGACACCGGACAACAAGGAAGTTTTCACGAATAGTTTTGTATCTCTGTATTGTTCCTACCATAAAATGAAATAAATGATGAGGTATTATCTGTCCTTTTCTTTTCTCCCGTTGCTAACACTATGAAAAGTTAGTTGTGTGTGTGTGTGTGTGTGTGTGTCTGTGTGTGTG
Source organism: Homo sapiens (assembly GCF_000001405.40). Lineage (NCBI taxonomy): Eukaryota > Metazoa > Chordata > Mammalia > Primates > Hominidae > Homo > Homo sapiens. The sequence goes on along the minus strand of NC_000007.14, from coordinate 89,430,154 downwards.
CGTATGTTTTGGAGGGATGGAGTCTAAGATTTTAATGAGGATACAAAGGTATTTTTAAGTAGATACATTGCAATGCAAATGTTCTGAACCTCATTTCAATAATGTCTTTACGTACAACAAACTTGCTGAAATGCCGTATCTACAAACTTAACTTACTCAAATGTCACATTCATAAAATGAAAGGGTCCATTGTACACTCATCCCAAACACCAAGTAATTGGAAACATTTGCTATTTTTCTTATAAATGTGAGGTGGATGAAAGGGATGGAATTATTCTTATGTTCAGGTTTTATAAACATATAGTCGAGACTCGGAAGTCCATTTCTATGAAGTATATATTATTGGAATAAAACCTAAATTACTTTTAACCCTTTTTCCAAGACAGCCTAGACTTTTGCCTCTGCTTTGTAAGGCAATCTTAAACAGGCATGCTGGGAGTCTATCTAAATAACATTATGAAAAATTCTAATAAAAGGCTTAAGGATGACTTTTCTTTTGACTGTGAACAATATTTTATATTGAGTAATAGTTGAATAAAATAAAAGCATCTAATATTTTACAATGTAACTAGAATGTATTGGTTCTTTTGCTGGTGTGTTCTTCTAAAACAGCTTCCAGAAATGTATTCCCTGTGCCTGGATACCACGGTTTCTCCTTCTTTTTCTAATGGAAAAAAAAAAAAAAAAAAACCCAGCAGGGTCTACAAAATTCTGTATCCCTTATTCTTGTCAAGCTTTAGCCTATTGAAACATCTGAACATTTTCATTAGAGCAGGGATTTTCTTGACACTATAGTCAAATATCTATTAGCATTTCTATTTAAAAGTGCTTATGCCCAGGATTCATAAATTTAGGTCCTAGACATATTTTGGCACATGCTTAGTAAGAGACACTCCTAGTTTTCGTCAGATGTTTCCATCTGGCTATGAACTTTTCGATGCTAAATACAGTGAACAAGCTGTAATTATGTGTTATGCTCAATTCATTATACATCTTCCTTTTGAAACATTAAGCAACAAAACAATGTGCTTTCTCAAAGGAACTTGCCATCTGCATTTTGCACTTCAAGCTGGGAAGAGTGAACGTAAAAGGTAATGTGATGATAATGAAAATGAGAGTTGTTACAGACCTAATAAATTACCCAAATTATTCTCTGCTATTTTTGCATTGCTCCCTTATACATCATCTTTAGAACTCTTTAGACCAGGGAAGATATGGGTGCACGCAACCAGGGAACAGAAGGAGCCATAAAACTCAGCTTCACTCTCCTGCTTTCTTGCTTTGCACCTTTTCCTCTTTCGTTTTTCCCTTTGGCTATTTCTGTGATTTCTTTCTCTTCTCTCTCCTTTCTTCCCCAAGCAGAAGACTGCGTGTTTTTAGGAGGGTCGGGGGCAATAATTATTGTTCTATTTTTCACCATTACTTGAAGTCCTGGATCATGAGTGGTGGTGATTTACAGCTCTGTTTTTGTTCCTAAACTGTTTATTATCTTGCTGTAGCCAAAAAATCCACATATCTGGAAATAATTTTCAATGGTGAAAAACTTCATCTTTACATTTCGACTGATTTCGAATCAGTCCCCTTAATAACAAATGTGCAGCATGCAGCTCTTTTTCTAGTTTTCCCTTTGGAAAATAAGGTTTGAAAATTCTGGGTTTTGCTATTGACATACATTACAGAAATAGTTGAGAAGTGATTTTCAGTTTTCTCCCACAATTTCAGTTCTTTTGCCCATGAAGTTGTCAATTGTAAGTCATTTCTTTATTTTGCAAATTTACTAATAATTTGATTAATAAGGCTTAGGGACTTTACCAGCATAGATGCCTGAACTGTAGTTCTAACTTTTAGCCTTGTTTCTGTATGTTATTAGAAAGCATTTTTTTTTGAATTTATGAGTTTTCATCATGTGCAATGTCGGTAGATCTGTTTCCTATACTTTCCTGGAACATAATGTTATAAACAGTTTTGCTGCAGATAGAGTGGTAGGAGCAAGTAGCGCTGAGGTCATTTCTCAAATTTCAAAATATAATACTCTTACACACTTAATCTTCAGCTTCCAGCTGTCTCTTATCTTGCCAACCAGCCAACTTTATTGTTCTTGGAGCAGAAAAGCCAGCTTTCATAACAATACACATTCTTATTTTGTCATCTAAGAATTACCTACTTGCCTACATCTATTGATATTTGAAGCCAAGCTTACGAACACAGTGAACTCCTTCCTCCCTGCCCCAGATATATATGATTTAAAAAATTTTAAAGATTTTAAGAATAAGATCTTGCTATGTGTAATAAGAAATACATTAAGATCCTCAGCTGAATTTCTTGTTTTCACTGGACTATTTTATATCTCCCTTTGCTAAGTACAAATATGTACTTACTGAAGTAGTAAAGACCTTTAATTTAATAAGTGGTGGTTTGTGAGGCAATGATTAAAATCCATGAAGGGGCCGGGCATGGTGGCTCATGCCTGTAATCCCAGCACTTTGGGAGGCTGAGGTGGGTAGATCACCTGAGGACAGGAGTTCAAGACCACCCTGGCCAACACGGAGAAACCCTGTCTCTACTAAAAATACAAAATTAGCTGGGCGTGGTGGCACATGCCTGTAATCCCAGCTACTTGGGAGGCTGAGGCAGGAGAATCCCTTGAACCAGGGAGGCGGAGGTTGCAGTGAGCTGAGATCGCGCCATTGCACTTTAGCCTGGGCAACAAAAGCGAAACTCTGCCTCAAAAAAAAAAAAAAAAAAAAAAAAAATTCCATGAAGGAACAACTTATGAACTCAGCTATACAAGGTGAGAGACTGGCAGAACTTTTTATTCCGTTCACAACCCCGATGACCAAAACAAAATCTTGTCCAGCCAGGATAAAATGAAGAAACTGACAGTAACAAGCAGATGGCAAAGAAAACGACCTTTAGCTGCCCTCATTGCTCAATGGCATAAGACACACCCACCAGTGCCATGACAGTTTACAAATGCCATGGCAATGGCCCAAAAGTTACTACCATTTTCCAAGGCAACAACCCAGAAATGACTGCTCCTTTCTTAGAAAGTTTTAAGTAACCCGTTCCCCAATTTGCATTGACCCACCCATTAATTTGCACATAATTGAAAGTGGATTTACAGGAGTTAAGTACAGTTGCCAAGAGCCCATACATTAGCAAATCTGGGTGCATTGCCTATGAGTTAGCCCTGCTCTGCAAAGAGCAGTACCATTCAAAAAAGATTGCTGTCTAACTCCGCCAGCAGCTTGCCCTTGAATTCCTTCCTGGGTGAAGCCAAGAACTCTTTTGGGCTAAACCCCAATTTTGGGGCTTGCCTGTCCTGAAACAATACATCTGAAACAGAGAGGTAATGGAATTATCTTTCATAAAGGTCTCTATGCCATACATTCCAAAAGACCAAGAATTCTACAAGTTAGGTAGGGGTGACATCTAAAAAGTTTCATAGCAAATAATTGCTTTATTTCCAACCAATTTCCTCTATATATTATACCTGTAAATAACTGTTTTTCAAACAAAATTATATTATTTTTGCTACAAATAATCCATTAAGAGAAATAAAGTCATAGTCCTTTTCTATAGTATTAACTAGGCTTAATTTATTTATCAAATAAAATTATATTGTGATAATGAATATGACATAAAAATATATATATTATATATTTATATGCCTGTGATTACACTTTCTTCTGAGTTTGTGGCATAATTACCAGATGAGACTTATATATACAAAAGGGATAGATTATAAATAATAATTTCACATTTTTACATATATAAATATTCTACTGTTACAAGTACTTGGAGTGAGCAATTGTGCATTCTCTAAGTTCTCTTGCTTGAAAGTTTTAAATGTGAAGTTCAGGTGAAAAAACAATTATTGGTTGTGAAGTCATCCAAAGATCAAATATAGTAGGACTTTTACTTACATTCATCTTCTAATTATATATTAAGGCAGTATATAAAGTAAAAACGTATAAGCTTATACCATATTAACTGTTTTTTTTTTTCCCAGAATATTACTGGCAAGTAGGAAAGACAACTAATTGGATTCCATTTTACTACCCTTTCTCTTTCTATCTGATGGACATAATAATATTATTCAAATTATTAAGAGGCTGGCCGTAAGATATAAATACTAGCAAAGTAAATAATAGTTCATACATGGAATTACAAGGAGTTTAACCACTGAGTACAAAACCCAGGAGATCCAACTTATAAATTATATATAATTTAAATAATTTATATAAAAACCATTTTATAGGTTTTCTGTCTTCAAATTCTGTTCATTCTACTTCTGTAGTATTCATATATGTTTCCTTTTTATATCCTTCCAGTACAGAGTTTATTCTTTTATTTCTCATGGATGAATTATTTCATTAGTTTTTAACCTAGACACCCTTCTCGTATGTTCTTGCCATTTCCATTTCTTTACTACCATCAATATGATCTTTCTAAAAGAGGATTCTGGTTTAGATGATTTCACTACTTAAAAAAAAAAAAGGAAAGAAAAGAAAAGAGAAAACATTTTCATCTTCCCCACTAACTCTTGACTAAAGTCTAAACATCTTAGTAAAGGCATTTAAGAGCTCTTTGCAATATCCATTTCATATGTAAACTTTTCATTAAACACTTCTGCAGTCATGATTTGTTACACTCGAGTACTAATTTTATTCCTTATTTAGCATTTGGATTCGATTTGCACTTTACTTTTGTCAAATATCATAGTACTTTGTATTATCACCACTTCAGTTATTACATATCATACCCCATAAATAAAAACTATTTAGGGATAGATGCCACTGTAACTGCTAAATTACATATTGAAGTTACTAAAAATGTGACTGAATTTTAATTGATTTAATTAAGTAGATATATGTGGGTTTTGTGTTTGTGTGTATATGTATATATATACTATGAGTTTATGTACGTATACATACACACGAATGCCAATTGATGAGATGAAAAATTTCATCTTTGTAACTTTACCTTCACTATTCTGTATTACTTCCCAGCATTGGATTTCTGAAATGGGTCTCAATTAACTAAAATGAAGTTATCAGTAGGACTGCTTTTCTTCTGTGAAAGAATCCAAACAGCTTTTTCTTTTTCAGTTTATAGAGGTTGCCCATATTCCTTGCCTATTGATCACTTTTGTATATCAAAATTGGGCCAAGCCCTTTTTATGCCACAGTCTCTCCCTTCCACTTCCCTATTCCAGTATTAAGGACCCTGTAATTAATTAAATAAGATAATCTCCCTATTTTCAGGTCAACTCATTATTAACCTCAACTTCATCTGCAACATAATGTAATCCCCTTTATCATGTACGTTCTCAGATCCTGTGGATTAGGCTGTGGATATCTTTGGGTATGGCATTATTTGGCCAACCACAAATATTATCACTTTACCTTACATTTATATGGTCTAAATATTCCAATTAAAATGCAGAGATTGTCATATTGGCTTTAAAAAAAAAAGCAAGACCAAAAGTATTCTGTCTATAGAACAATCCCCTTTAAGCATAAAAATATAGAAAGTTTAAAAATTAAAAATAACATATGCAAATACTATTGAAAAGAGAGCTGGAAGACTATATTAATATCACACAAAGCATATTTCAAAATGACTTTTATAAGGGATAAAGAGATGGCCAGGCACAGTGGCTCATGCCTGTAATCCCAGCACGTTGGGAGGCTGAGGCGGGCAGATCGCCTGAGCTCAGGAGTTCAAGATGAGCCTGACCAACACAGTGAAACTCTATCTCTACTAAAAATACAAAAATTAGCTGGGTATGGTGGCCCATGTCTGTAGTCCCAGCCACTTGGGAGGCTGAGGCATGGAATCACTTGAGTCCCAGAGGTAGAGGTTGCAATGAGGCAAGATCTTGCCATTGCACTTCAGCCTGGGTGACAGAGAAAGAGCAAGACTCTGTCAAAAAAAAAAAAAAGGGGATAAAGAAAAATTTTAATTTTATAGTGATAAAGGGTCTATCTGGAGAAGACATAAAAATATCAAATATGCATGGAACCAATAACAAAACATTGAAGTACTTATAGAACTTTAAAGACTGATAGAACTAAAAGGAAAAAATGGACAAACCAAATATATATTGTACTCCTTTTGCAGTAATTGATAAGACAGAAAAAGTAAATAGAAAATCTCTAACGATATAGAAGCCTTGAACATCAATATCAACCAAATTATTCAAATTGATATTTATAAAGAACTCTATCAAATGAGAGAAAAGATAGTCTTTCCAAGTGTACATGGAGCAAAGGGATAGGCCATCTCCTGTACCACAAAAGAAGCCCCCAAAACGTTACAAATGGAAATAATACAAAGTATGTTATACGAATGTAATGGAATTGAACTATACATCAAAAAATAGAAGGACAACTGGAAAATCCCCGAATGTTTGGCAAGGTCACAAAATAAATAAGTCACCACAGAAACAATCCCAAATAAATGAAAACATATGTCCACACAAAGAGGTATACCCAACTCTTCCTAACATTCATAGCAGAGAGAAAAAATTGTACCATAAACTAGATGTTATGCATTTTCTCCGCTTCTCTGATATAATCTTTTCAAATGCTTTTTTTTTTTGCATATTACAATGAACCAAAAGATGATACTATTTCCTTTGAAAATTTCTTCCAACTGGAACTATACAATTTAATCTAATTTTTAAAAAATGTGTTTGTTCATGGATTGTGTTTTATTTGCTCTTTTGTTTTTATTTTTGACCTACAGATGTCAGCTTCACAGATTTGGTGTTCCAGTAACTTCTGGCTCAAATCCCCCATGGCAAATTAAAAGCCATTCTTGTCCTCATCAATAAATTGCTTATATCTCCTCAAGGTCTTTATCATGTTTGCTAAGAAAGGAAAATCATGTTTCTTTTAGATGGCCTGTGAAAACTGAAGGCAATTTGGAAGGCATTTTTAAATTCCGTGGAGCCACTGGAGAAATGTTTACAGGAATGATAACTTAAAATTCCTCAGTGGTAAGGTAGGAACTGAGCTTCCATTCTTCCATTTTGTTTTTAGTTGTCGTGTGTTCACCCAGAGCTATTTTTAAGCTGCTTTAAGCTTTTTATTATTTGGAAAGTTATAATTTCCTTGTTATTTAAATGAGGCTGCATTACCATTTAGACTCTAATAGTGGATTTATTTCATGATTTCTTTTTTCTTTTGGGAAATTGTGAATTCTTTAACCCTTTCATTAGTCTTTCACACATAGACTGGTGAAACTCCATATTAAATGACTGCAGTTTCAATAATTAATGTACAAGGATTTCAAAATGCTTTATAATTTAAAATATACACACTTACATATATATTGCCACTACCAGCACCATCACAAACAAGAACCAAATACCTTGGGTTTTGAAAGCTGATGGAATTGAATTGTTCATTCAATATTTGCTATGTGTTAGTATGAAGAAAAACTATTGTTTTTCTTCCTTTCTCAATGTTTTATGGGTTTCTTCGGAATAAATAACACATTTTAAAACTCTTTTGAAAAAATTAACAAATTGTTGCCAATTTATGAAATAAACAAACTAGAAAAGTGATCTTTTTTCTTTTTTCTTTTTTACTTGGAGACAAAGTCTCGTTCTGTCACCCAGGCTGGAGTGCAATGGCACCATCTCAGCTCACTGCAACCTTCACCTCTCAGGCTGAAGCCATCCTCCCACCTCAGCCTCCCAGATACCTGGGACCACAGGCATGCACCACCATGCTTAGGTAATTTTTTTGTTTTTTTTGAGACAGAGTTTCACTTTGTCACCCAGGCTGGAGTGCAGTAGTGTGATGGCAGCTCACTGTAACCTCAGCTTCCTGCGTTCAAGTGATCCTTCTGTCTCAGTCTCCAAGCAGCTTAACTATAGGCATGCACAACCACGCCCACCTAATTTTTGTATATTTTGTAGATACAGAGTTTTGCCATGTTGGCCAGGCTGGTCTTGAACTCCTGAGCTCAAGCCATCCTCCTGCCTCAGTCTCCCAAAATGCTTAGATTACAGGAGTGAGCCATCGTGCCTAGCCTGATTTTTCTTTTCTGTTGAATTTCTTTATATCTGATTTTGTGTGGATTTCTGAAAAGAAGTATTCAACTAAAGGAATACCCTCTTGCATTATTAAATGTGGGAATGTCTATGTTCTCAGCCTCTACCATTTTCTGTACAGGGCTCATAGGGCCACAAGCTGGATGAGACACACACACACACACACACACACACACTAACACACTAACACACATGCAAACATGATATATTTCTTCCATCTAAGGCTTGAGATCCCTTACTCAGGGATCCTTTACAAAATCCTTGTTGCAATATCCTTATACTACTCCTTATGCTATCTGTAACTCTCAATTCCCTAGTTAGAAACATGACCCCAAATACCAGTATTTCTGGAATGGCAATATAGAGAGGTATAAAAGACTGCTGGCAGTCTTTTCAAGAGAGCAGAGTTTGATTGGAGGACATCTAAAGTTTCTGAGAGTATTTGGAAAGGTCTAATCTGGAGTGGAAACGAACACTAAAATAGAGTCCCAAGGAACCTGGAAACAAACTTTAATTGTTATCAAATTTGGCCAAGATGAAGTGCTTAAATACCACACTACCTAAAACGTATTCAGGAGTGGAGCCATCTCTGCCTCCTCCTTTCTTTCTCCTCCTCCTCTTCCCCTTCCTCCTCCTCTATTTTATTTTTTTGAGACAGAGTCTCGCTCTGTCGCCCAGGCTGGAGTGCAGTGGCGCCATCTTGGCTCACTGCAAGCTCCGCCTCCTGGCTTCATGCCATCCTCCTGTCCCAGCCTCCCGAGTAGCTGGGACTACAGGTGCCCGCCACCAAGCCCGGCTAATTTTTGTGTAGTTTTAGTAGAGATGAGGTTTCACCGTGTTAGCCAGGATGGTCTCCATCTTCTGACCTCGTGATCCGCCCGCCTCGGCCTCCCAAAGTGCTGGGATTACAGGCGTGAGCCACCGCGCCCAGCCCTTCCTCCTATTTTTATTTCAGGAAGAAGCATCATGCTATCTGGAGGTATGAGTAGAAATAGAGTAGCAGATCTTTCTCTATTCATTTCAAATGCAAGTTGTGATGGTTTTTAATGAAATATATCTTTGCAAGAAAACTTTTACACATTAACAATAATTATAGTTATCACTTATTGAATATCTATCATTCTGCATTAGTTATTTTGATGAGCCAAATTAAACATTTCAACAATTCTTCCAGTTAAATATTAGTGTATCCATTTTAAGGTTAAGGAAACCAAGGATTAGAGAGGTTGTATAACTCATTGAAGCTGCATAGCAAGTTCAGGATTCAAATTCAGGTACTTCTCTCTCTAATGCCATATTTTTCCACTTTAATATTTTACCTACTTTTTCTCAACAAGTAGAAGACAGGGTTATTTTATTTTCTGTACTGAAAGTATATATTTTACTAGGGAGTTAGGTGTTAGTATTTTCGTTCTGTCAATATGTTGGAATGAGTGTTGACCAGTGACACTCGAGAAATCTCTCATCATTCACAGAAGTCCTTGTGCTTTAACATTCAAGATAAAATTTTAGCATTTTCTTTTACTATGCTTGAATGTCAATGGCCTATGTAATCCAGATAAAGGGAAATTAGGATACCAAAGCATTATAGATAAAGCACTTTAAATTTTTGAAAGAATGAGGAACTATTTTACTTGAGAGAATACTCCTTTCTGGTTAGAAGAGGTGGTATGTGAAACTTACTGAAGTGATGAGTCCTTTTTTCATCTGTCTGTATTAAAATAACTAACTTGAGATTAATATTATCAATTTTGTTTGACCAGTTTTATACTTTAAAGTAGAAATAATTGCACTCTTGGTAATATGTTACTATTATGTTTCTGTCTAATTATATTGGGTTATAAGGAAAGCCTTACATGAAGAAGAGGGGTAAGAAAAGGAAAACAGAGACAAGGATGATGAAAAAGAAAAAGCAGCAGCTATAACTGTCTTATTTAATGGGGTTGTATTTTTTTCCTTTTTTTCTTTTTGAAGATCTGAGTACCATGTAGAAGATGCTGACTCCTGGACCACATTTAGGTTCATCTTATTTGCAAGAATCAATATTCTTATAGAAGGAAGAAATCTGGGCTTGGGCAGTCTCGGGTGAGTGGCAGCCAAGTTGTGAATCACCTGAAGTCCTAACTCCAGACATTCCCTTGGCCTTTCACTGCTTATCTCCTTGTTCCATTGTACAAGGATTATATAGGAGAAGGAAATGAAAGCCTTCGTCAGTTAACCCAAATATCTAAAAATGAGTGACTGATCACTGAATATTGTTTTGATTTTGTCTGAGTGTGAAGGATAGATGATATATATTTAACAGTGAATTTGATAAAAACAGAATATGAGCATTACCTCCAGTTTTAGCCCAAATCTTTAAAGAGCTTAGCATTTCCAATTCCCATCCTTACAATAAGAAATAGTTAAAGAAACTTAAAATTGATGGCTTGTCTTGGACCCGTCAGAGAACTGATATTACAGGGCAAACTGTCACCTTAAAATCTAGAAATACAAGCAAATTCAGAGTTGCAGAGAACTGCTTACCTGGAGTAGAAGCCTCTGGGGCCATAAACTAGTAGGAAAACTTAAGAGGTAATTTTGAAAACTTCTGGATCCTGAATGTGGGAAATCCTTAGAGTTGGAAAGTCCTGGGGTTCCTGTCTTAGGGAATGTTACCTCAGAGAACCTCACCTTGTTCCCATGATGAAGAAAAAAAAAAAGGTTTCCTCCTGTCTCTGGCAAGAACAGAGGAATAGCAATCATTGTAAAATATGCCCAGTGCATTATCTGTAACAAAGGTCTATCCTCCGGGAGAAAGACTTTACCAGAGCCTTGTCTAAACTTGGAAATGACATTCTTTTCATGCTAGCACCTTCTAGCAGTCTTGTCTTACATAAATGGCACAGAGGAGGGAAAGATATATCATGAGAAAAATACTTGTGAAGGTCACAGCTCAGAGACACAGGCCCACTAAAAGAATGAGATTTCATGTGAGATTATAATGTGCTTTTCCTACCCCATACCTGACCATTATTAGGTCAGGGCTTCAGTTAATAACTGAAGGGGATTACATCTGAAATTATTACAACATGCAGAATCTGTCTGAAGAAGACTTAGGGAATCCCAAAGTCAAAAAAATAAACACAAATAAGAGTACTGCAGGAATATAAAGGACTATGGCATCTAAAACTATAACAAACATTGAACACAGCCCAACTCCTACCCAGATTAATATAAATCCTGACATTAAAGGCTGATATACCTCAGTTCTGTTAACTGATACAAGTTGGACTTTAAACCAAAAATTATAAGACATTTTAAAGGGCCAAAAAAAGTATTTAAAGCCACAGTAAGCAGCAGAAACAGTCATCTGAGGAAAGAGACAGATGTTGGAATCATCAGAGGATTTTTTTAAAATAATTAAGATGTTAAGAACTCATGGAAAAAAGTAGTCAACATTCAATAACAGATAGTTATGTAAGCAGAGACACACACAAACTCTAAGAGAGCATTTTGTAGCCATTCTGAAGGTGCAGGATTCACTCTCAGTCAATATTTAATTCAGATGTTGAGACTGAGGATGTGAAACCCACTCCAAAAGAGCTTAAAAAATTATTACTTACAGAATTCAAGTTTTTGTGGACAATGGGGTGCAGGCCTCCCAAGTAGGTCCGCAATGGTTTATGGGAGAAAGGAAAGGAGACTGCCTTTGGGTTTTGCTTGTGGTTAGAAAGTGAGATTGAGGTGAGAGTTCCTGTGTGCAAGCAGAGGGTTGTATGGTTTGGATCTCCTGTAAGCACCAAAGCAGAAAGCACCCAGGCTTTCTTATTAGCTTGCTCAGATGTGGAACAAAAGACATACAGAGGAGTAAGACTTAGAAGTTATCAGAAGTCAAACACTAAAAAAAAAAAAAAAAAAAAAAAAAAAAAAAAAAAAAAAAAAAAAAAAAAAAAATAGAGTCAGAATTCTTAATACAAAGGGTTCAAAATAAATTTTAAAAATCAAAAACATTACAGTGATTTAAGAACGACTTTGGGCTGGGTGTGGTGGCTCATGGCCTATAATCCCAGCACTTTGGGAGGCCGAGGCGGGTGGATCACTTGAGGTCAGAAGTTCGAGACCAGCCTGATCAACATGGTGAAAACCTGTCTCTACTAAAAAAAAAAAAAATACAAAATTAGCCAGGCGTGGTGGCATGCACTGGTAATCCCAGCTACTTGGGAGGCTGAGGCAGGAGAATCACTGGAACCTAGGAGGTGGAGGTTGCAGTGAGCCGAGATCACACCATTGCACTCCAACCTGGGCAACAAGAGTAAAACTCCATCTCAGTGAATCAGTCCACTGGATACAACCAAGGGAAGAAACAGTGAACTTGAAGATATATCAATAGAAACTTCTGAATGCAAAGAAGAGAATAAAACTGAACACCCAAGAACTGTGGGGATAATTACAAAAGGTAAATGAAAATGTAATTGGAATGCCAGGGGGGAGAAGAAAGAGAGGCAAAAGCAGACAAAATAGTTGAAGTAATAATGGTCAAGAGCATTCAAAATTAATGACATACACAAAACCATAGATCCAGGAAGCTCAAGGAAAACCAAGCAGGATAAATTCCAAAAATATTACACCTAAGGATAACATATTCTCACTTCAGAAAACTAAGATAATAAGAAAATCTTGAAATAAATTAGACAGGGAAAATAACCACTGTACCTAGCAAAGAACAAGGAGTTACAGTGAGAAACACAGCATGGTGATTCCATTCAAGCAGGAAGAGAGAATAGTGAATATTTAAAATTTTAAAAAACCTCCCAAACAGAAATTCTGTATCCAGCAAACTTAACCTTCTCCTTCAACAGTGAAGCAGAAATAAAGACTTTCAGACAAACAAAAACTGAGAAAATACACCATCAAAAGACCTGTCGGCAAAAAAATTTTAAAAGAGGTTCTTCAGGGAAAAGGAAAATTATATCCATCAGGAACTTGGATCTCCATTAAAAAGAAAAGAATATCAGAAAAGGAATAAATAATGATTAAATAAAATCATTTATTTTTCTTCTTAATCTAAAAGATAACCTTTTTTAAAGTAACAGTAATAATGTGTTGGGTGATTATAGTATACAAATCAGTGAATGAGTAACAGAAATATCATCAGCAATGGGAGGAATTAGAATTTTCTGTCATATATAATATGTCATGTATATGTCATATATATGTATACATCTGTATACATAAACATACCTATGTAAGACATATGTATACATACCTATGTATATATAAGCATACATATAAGACATATGCATAAATACATATATGCATACATATATGTCTGTATGATGTATATGTGGCATATGTATATATGACAAAATAATCTATACATACATATATGTGTATATGTAGATAATTTGCATATGTATACATATTTGTATATGTATATGTAGAAAGAATTTTATATAGATATACACATATATACACACATATACATATATAAATAAACATAGGCATTACACATTAAGTCATATAGTGTCATTTGAAAATACACTTTACTGGTTAAAAAATGTATATTGAAACTCTAGAACAATCAATGTAAAATTTAAAAGGAAGTATCATTGACATGCTAATAGAGGAGATAAAGTGGAATTATATAAAATGCTGAATTAAAGCTAGAGAAAGCAGAAAAGTGGTGGAGGGGAAAGAACAACTGCCAAAAAAGAGAAAACAGCTACATATATGGAGAATATTGAGCCAACTATATCAAGAGTCACTTTAAATGTCGATGATCTAAATATGCCAGTTTTAAATAAAGATTTTCAGTATGGATTTAAAGAAAAACAGACAAAAAATATGTTGTCTACAAGAAACAGTTTAATATAAGGATTCCAATAGCTTAAAGGTAAACTGAGGAAGAAATTTATAACACTAATCAAAAGTATCTGAAGTAGTTATATTAATTTCAAACAAAGCAGATTTCAGAACAAGAAAATCATCCACAATAACATAGATATGATATATGTTAAAGGGGTGAATTCTCTAGGACAATATAATAGTCCCAAATGTGTAGGCACCTAATAACAGAGCAGCAAAATATATAAGGCAAAAACTGCAAAGAGAATTAGGCATGTCTCCTATTAGAGTTGGAGATTCAATACTCTTCTTTCAGTAGACAATAGATCCAGCAGATAGAAAATCATTGAGAATATAGATGAATTGAATAGCCCCATCAATTAATTTAATCTAATCGACAATTTTAGAATATTCCATGTAACAATAGCAAAATACACATAGTTTGAAAGATTATATGAATAATTTACCAGGATATACTATGTTCTGGGCCATAAAATACATATTAAAACTGAAAAAGAATAGAAATAATAGAAAGTATCTCACACTACAGTAGAGTTGAACTAGAAATAAAAAAATAGTAACACTGCAAATGTTTACAAGTTTAACATCATATATCCAAGTAACCTATAAGTCAAAAAAGTAGATTCAACAAAAATTTAGAAATATTTTGAACTGAGTAAAATACAAATACAACTTACCAAAATGTATGGGATATAGTTAAAGCAGGGGTATGACAGAAATTTTTAATACTAAATGCATATATAAGAAAGTAAGAAATATCTAAATCAGTAATTTTAATCCATATTTCACATAGAAAACTATAGAAAGAAGGTCAATTTAAGCCCAAAACAAAGAGAAGAAATAAAAGTTAGAGCAGAAATCCATAACATTTTAAACAGTAAAACACTAGGGACAATCAAGTTAACCAAAAGGTGCCTCTATGAAAATATTTTTAAAAATCAATAAATGTCTAGCTAAGGTAACCAGGGTAATTGGAATATCTATCACCTCAAGCGTTTATCACTTCTTTGTGTTAGAAACTTTCCAATTCTACTTTTTTAGTTATTTTGAAATATACAATGTGCTATTGTTAACTTTAGTTGTCCTGTTGTGCTATCAAACATTAGATTTAGTTGCTTCTACCTAACTGTATCTTTGTGCTCATCAACCTTCCCCTCTATATTCCCCATGCCCTACTACCCTTCCCAGCTGCTGGTAACCATCATTCTACTCTCTATCTCCATGAGTTCAGTTTTTTTTGGCTCTCACATATGAGTGAGAACATGTAATATTTGTCTTTCTGTGCTTGGTTTATTTCATTTAACACAATGTCCTCCAGTTCCATCCATGTGCCAGCAAATTACAGGGTTTCATTATTTTTTATGTCTAAGTAGTATTACATTGTCTAAATGTACCACTTTTTCTTTCTCCATTCATCCACTGATGGACACTTAGGCTGATTTCATATCTTGAAAACTCACAATTTTTATATTAGATGAAATGGACTTATTCTTTGGAAGATACAAACCACCAAGGTTTATAGAAAGAGAATGAGAAAATATAAATGGGCTTATATCTACTTAGAAAACTGAATCAATAATTAATAACTTTCTAAAAGAAAAATCACCATACTGTCTCATCTTTGTGGGCTTTATGGTGATTTTTCTTTTGGGAAGTTGTTAATTATTCATTCAGTTTTTAAAGTATGGTACGTTTACACAATGGAATACTATGCAGCCATTAAAAAAGAACAGGATCACGTCCTTTGCAAGGACATGGGTGGAGCTGGAGGCCATTATCCTTAGCAAACTAACATAGGAACAGAAAACCAAATACCACAAGTTCTCACCTATAAGTGGGAGCTAAATGGTGAGAACACATGGACACATAGAGTGGAAAGAACAACACACACTGGGGCCTTTTGATGGTGAGGTGGAAGGTGGGAGGAGGGGGAGGATCAGGAAAAATAACTAATGGTACTAGGCTTAATACCTGGGTGATGAAATATTCTGTACAACAAACTGTCATGACACAACTTTACCTATGTAACAAACCTGCACTTGTACCCCTGAACTTAAAATAACAGTTAAAAACAAAATCAGCATACTCATATGGCTTTGGTGGTTAATTCTACCAAATACTTGAATAAGACATGCTACCAATTCTTCACAATTTTTGGCAGTAAATAGAAGCAAAGGGAACACTTTCTAACTCCTTGTTATAAGGGCAACATTATCCTAATAAAAGCTAATAAAGACATTACAAGAAAGGAAAATTATAGAACAGTATGTCTTATGAACATATACAAAATATTATCAACAAATCACATCCAAAAAGATACAAAAATAATTTTACTCCACAACTAAATGGAGTTTATTCCAGGTTTAATACTGAAAAAAACTCAATGTAATTTTCCATATCAACAGGCTTAATGGTGAGAAAATATTCTCTTTTCACCTAAGATCAGTAATAAGGCAAGGATGCATTCCCTTACGACTCCTACCCAATGTCATAGTGGAAGTCCTATCTACTGAAGTAAGACAAGAAAAAAGAAATAAAAGACATAACATTTAGAAAGGAAAATATAAAATTATCTTTGTTGGCATATGACATAATTGTCTATGCATCTACAAAAACTTCTGGAACTAATGAGTGCGTGTGGTAAACTGACCTAGTGAAAGGTCAACATATAAGATTCAATTGCTTGCCTATACACCAGCAGCAAAATATGAGAACTTGAAACTAAAAGGAAGAAAATTTAAATAGCACCAAAACTTTGAAATCTTGTCGTATAAAATTAAAATATATATAGCTTTCTATATGCAGAAAGCTATAAAACACTGACAAAATAAATCCAAGAAGACCTAAATATTTGAGATATATTTCATATTTGTAGATAGGTAGAATATAAAATGATGTGGCCACTTTGGGAAACAATCTGGCAGTTCCTCAAATGGTTCAACATAGAGTTACCATATGATCCAGTTATATATTCTACTCCTAGTTACATATCCATAAGAAATATAAATGTATGTCCTCACAAATACTTTTACATGAATGTCCATAGCAACATTATTTATAACAGGCAAAAAGTGGATATAATCCAAATAATCATCAACTAATTAATAAAATATGGTTGGCCATAAAATGAAATATTATTTAGAGACAAAAGTAAATGAGTTCTCAAGTTATGAAAAGACATGGATGCATGTTAAGTACATGTTGCTAAGTGAAAGAGCTAGTCTGAAAAAGCTGCATACTAGATGGGACCAATTATATGGCACTGTAGAGAAGGCAAAACTAAATAAATTATATCCAGTCAGTTGTTGCCAGAGGTTCAGATGGGAGTTAAGATGGTTGAAAAGATAAAAAACTAAATTTTATGGAAACTGAATTTATTCTGTGTTATGTTCTTACGGCAAATACATGAAACTATGAATTTATAAAAACCCATAGAATTTAAAATGCAAAGAGTGAGCTTTAATATATGACAATTTAAAAAAACACTATTTTCAGGAGGTATGGGGGAATCCCAGGATGAGATGTAAAATGTGATAAAATAATATGCCTAGTACAAAAGTATAATGCAGCCTTACTTAAGGGGATTGGAAGAAAACGTGGCAACCTAAGTAATTTTGTAAATGAGTAGAGGCTGTGAAACTAAAGGCAGAAGTAACTGTACATAGACATTATAATTTTGTTGATAAAGTTGTTCCTATGGGGGTATGGGTTAATGATTTTTGTATTGCTCCTGTGCACACTGGAATTGAGGAGAACAAATGGATGGTGGACACTGGGAGTCAGATTTCTCTCTGCTGGAATGAAGCCATACTGACAGAAATAAAAAATGGATTAATAGAAGCATAGATTACTAATACATAAATAGATAAATAGGGGAAAGTGACAGAATAAATCTACCTAGGTATTATTCTGCCTTAAGGAGGTGGAACGTGACTCCTCTCCTCTCAAGCGTGGGTTATGCATAGTGACTTCCTTTCAAAGAGTACTACATGGAAAGGGGAGGAAAAATGACCTTACAGTGGAGAAACCTAAAAAACATTATGGCACATCAGTGATTAAGGTCAACATTAACAGTTGTAAATCATCCCTTTAGCATCTATCTTAGATATGATATGATGACGGTGGCACTTTATGTCTATGATATTCTTCCCCAAACCCTAACTCCAGTCTAATCATGAGTAAAAACATCAGAAAAATTGCAGTAGAGGGGCATCCTTCAAAATATCTGATAAGTACTCCTCAAAATCGTCAAGGTTATCAAAACCAAAAAAAAAAAGTCTGAAAAACTGTCACAGTTAAGATGAACATAAAGAGACTTGGCAACTATGTGTCATAGGGTATCCTAGATAGAATCCTGGAACAGAAAAAGGACATTGGGTAAAAACTAAGGCTATCTGAATAGAGTATGGGCTTTAGTTAATACTTATGTATCAATGTAAGCTAATTTTCCTTCATTCCATCTTTCAGTTAACTAATTTTAACCAATGTAGCATAATATTGTAAGATATTCATAATAGGGAAAGCTGGGTGTGGGATATATGAGAAGTACTCTATTATATCTATCATAAAAATTATATCAGAACATGTTAGATATTCCAGTTTTACTTAATGATATGTATGATATGTATATATGTTCCTAAACTGCAATCGTGTATGAAGAAAACAACTAAATATGATATAGTATTAAAATATTAATAAATTATGTTGTCATTTTCTGAATTAAAGTTTAAATATTGACTGTTTAAATTTTGATATATGGGGAAAGATTGTTTATATTAATTTTTACTTTGTTCAAAATAATATATTTTCTACTTTCTTTGTACAAATACATATTTTCTGTGTGAAATAGTAAAAATACTTGTTTCTTGTTCTTTATTTTGCAATAAATGATGTTGTAGACAAGGCCAGCTTCATGATTGCATGTCCTTTGCAATTGCACAAGTCCCTGAACTTAGAAGGCCTCGCACTTGGTGTAATGCTCTGCTATCACTGTCTCAGCTGATCCTGGTTAAAAAATGACTAAAACCCTTATGACTATCCTTGAAAGTATAAGAGTCCAGGGCCAAAAATCTGCAATGAAAACAAAAAAGATCTATATTCACTTTATTATATGTCATTATGCATGCTTCTAAGGATATCCAGTCTTTAACCCAGTAATCATTTGTTCTATCTCTAAAATTGTAAGTTCAGATAATTTTCGAAAAGGGACAAGAAAAGTACATAATACTTTGTAAAAATAAGAGCTTTCCTCATACCCCTTCACCCCTAGCTTTGAAGGACAATACCAAGGACTACCGCTTTACAAGCTCTCCTGTAGCCAAATATTCCCAAGTTGCACAAATTGGCAGTCTAACAGCTAATTTTCCCATATCCCACAGAAACATTATTTCAGAGATTTGTATCATCAGCATAGACTATGTCATATGAGTTCTCCATTACAAGTTGCTAGTTTGGCTTCATTTAGAATGAAATGTCTAATATCTCAAATCATTAAAAGTCAAACATATTATCTGATGTAATGATAAAACTTATCAATCCAGAAAAAATATACTATTAGCTCTCCAATACTATATATTTTCACCCTTCCAGTTCCCTTTTCTACCAGTTTCCTCCTCCAGGCCTTCTTGGCTTTCTTCCTAATTAATTACAGCCTTAGCACTGCTAGAGACCATAGAGCCTGATAAACAGCATTAATTGAAAACAATTATTGTTACAAATGAGGACTTGATGAATAGACCCATAAAGTTTCTGTCCTCTTCAAAGTCTGCCCAGATAGGCCTCAAAGTGTGGGGAGTTAATGCTTATGTGGCCGACATTGCTCAATGAGACACAGGAAATAAGGAATATGCAATAGTTGAATTGCTTGAACTTTCTCTTGATGTGTCCTCTCAACCTCACCACTACTCCCTCACATATACAAAACAGACTGTTTTGAGAAGTGGAGGTTCTAGACTGAATTGAATCCCTCCCCCACAAATTCATATTATGAAGCTCTAACCTCCAATATGACTGTATTTGGAGACAGGGACTTTAAGGAGGCAATGAAGGCTAAATGAGGTCACAAAGGTGGGGCTTTAGTCCCATATGATTGGTGTCCTCATAGAAAGAAAAAGACACTAGGGATGCACACACTCAGAGGAAAGGCCATGTGAGAACACAGTGAGAAGGTGGCCATCTGCAAGCCAAGGAGAGAGCCTCGGGAGAAATCAAACCTGCTGACATCTTGATCTTGGACTTCCAGCCTTCAGAGCTGTGACAAAATAAACTTCTGTTGTTGAAGCCATCTAGTCAGTGGTATTTTCTTTTGGCAGCCTAAGCAGACTACTACATGGGGGTTTTATGCTGTGTCTCTGGATATGTTCCCTGTGAACATATCAGCTGTTCACATCTGAACCAACCAGCTGTTTTTCTGGTGATGCTGTCAACTCCATTAGACACCTTTTGTATTTACTCTTCCTCTTTGTTTCACTTCCCTCTTTGCTCTTATTCTTTTCCTCAGGCTCTGTGTTTGAGGAAATCCTAGACTAGTTCTAGACAGCACACATCCTTCAGGAGGGTATTTTGGAATTGGATTCCCTGCCTGTTTGAAGGCAAAAGCAATCACAAAGCTCATGGTAAGTCGGGGAGGATAATAATTTTTGGTGTTCAGAGATATCATAATTATTCACACCTTGAGCTGGGGTTAATTGGAATGGAGTACAGGTAAGTAAAGTGCTGGAATACAAGCAGCTGCTACATTGATCATTATGGGGACAATAATAACTGAGCTTTTAGTAATGTTGGAAACTTTGAGAAAGATAAAAATGACAGTCTAACAACAGCTGTTTTCTATGAAAACCAAAGAGTCTTTATGGGAGCTTTCAAGGAGTTGTTTGTTTATATATTGTTCCTCTGGTAGATTGTGCTAAAGATCAAGTCTCAGATCTGAACATAGAATGGGAAAATTGTAGAGGAGATGAAAGGTGTCCTCTTAGTAAGTTTCCTACATCAAACTAGGGCCTTGATAGAGAAAGAGTGAGACCCTAAAACCTGGGGTAGTTGTGTTTAGATAAATGAACCTGGGAATATCAACTTACTAAATTTTCTTTAATCTTCTTGGTCAGTAGAGACAGCCCTAAAACAACTTGTCATAGGAGAACAGCTTGCCGTTTTCTAGGGACTGTCTACCGAATTGACCTAAGTAGGAGTGTAAAAAGATAATGTTTGTTCTCAAAATAATCAGTCCCCAATATCCCTCATTGGCCCCAGGACCAAATGAGGGGCCAATGATCAAATCTCCTCACAATCCAAAAAGAGAAGAATAGACTTTGCTTTGGGGAGAAAAAACTTAAACAGCAAAGAAATGAAATGCCTGATTAGTATATGGCAGCAGTAACCAGGGAAACATGTGAGGAAATGGATCTAACTGAAGGTTATGAAGCAGGAATGTAAGGCTGGATAAGTTTGTTATTACACAATGGAGGGATAGTAGAGTATGTTCTTATCCTAGGGTATTCACCAATGTGTCTTTTGGTTCTTCTATGACCATTGATAATTGTGAGTGAAATATTTCAGCAGCCACAGCCCAACAAAGGCAAGGCAAGGAAGGCCTCAAATACATTAAGAAAAAAGAAGTTGAATCTCTGAATAGACCAAAAACAGGCTCTGAAATTCAGGAAATAATTGATAGCTTACCAACCAAAAAAAGTCCAGGACCAGACGGATTCACAGCTGAATTCTACCAGAGGTACAAGGAGGAGCTGGTACCATTCCTTCTGAAACCATTCCAATCAATAGAAAAAGAAGGAATCCTCCCTAACTTATTTTATGAGGCCAGCATCATCCTGATACCAAAGCTGGGCAGAGACACAACAAAAAAAGAGAATTTTAGACCAATATCCCTGATGAACATCAATGCAAAAATCCTCAATAAAATACTGGCAAACTGAATCCAGCAACACATAAAAAAGCTTATCCACATGATCAAGTGGGCTTCATCCCTGGGATGCAGGGCTGGTTCAACATATGCAAATCAGTAAATGTAATCCAGCATATAAAGAGAACCAAAGACAAAAACCACATGATTATCTCAAAAGATGCAGAAAAGGCCTTTCACAAAATTCAACAGCCCTTCATGCTAAAAACTCTCAATAAATTAGGGATTGATGGGACGTATCTCAAAATAATAAGAGCTATCTATGACAAACCCACAGCCAATATCATACTGAATGGGCAAAAACTGGAAACATTCCCTCTGAAAACTGGCACAAGACAGGGATGCCCTCTCTCACCACTCCTATTCAACATAATGTTGGAAGTTCTGGCCAGGGCAATCAGGCAGGAGAAAGAAATAAAGGTATTCATTAGGAAAAGAGGAAGTCAAATTGTCCCTGTTTGCAGATGACATGATTGTATATCTAGAAAACCCCATTGTGTAAGCCCAAAATCTCCTTAAGCTGATAAGCAACTTCAGCAAAGTCTCAGGATACAAAATCAAAGTGCAAAAATCACAAGCATTCTTATACACCAATAACAGACAAACAGAGAGCCAAATCATGAGTGAATTCCCATTCACAATTGCTTCAGAGAGAATAAAAATACCTAGGAATCCAACTTACAAGGGATGTGAAGGAGCTCTTCAAGGAGAACTACAAACCACTGCTCAATGAAATAAAAGAGGATACAAACAAATTGAAGAACATTCCATGCTCATGGATAGGAAGAATCAATATCATGAAAATGGCCATACTGCTCAAGGTGATTTATAGATTCAATGCCATCCCCATCAAGTTACCAATGACTTTCTTCAGAGAATTGGAAAAAACTACTTTAAAGTTCATACGGAACCAACAAAGAGCCCGCATTGCCAAGTCAATCCTAAGCCAAAAGAACAAAGCTGGAGGCATCATGCTACCTGACTTCAAACTATACTACAAGGCTACAGTAACCAAAACAGCATGGTACTGGTACCAAAACAGAGATATAGACCAATGGAACAGAACAGAGCCCTCAGAAATAATACCACACACCTACAACTATCTGATCTTTGACAAACCTGACAGAAACAAGAAATGGGGAAAGGATTCCCTACCTAACAAATGGTGCTGGGAAAACTGGCTAGCCATGTGTAGAAAGCTGAAACTGGATCCCTTCCTTACACCTTATACAAAAATTAATTCAAGATGGATTAAAGACTTAAACGTTAGACCTAATACCATACAAACCCTAGAAGAAAACCTAGGCAATACCATTGAAGACATAGGCATGGGCAAGGACTTCATGTCTTAAACACCAAAAGCAATGGCAACAAAAGCCAAAATTGACAAATGGGATCTAATTAAATGAAAGAGCTTCTGCACAGCAAAAGAAACTACCATCAGAGTGAACAGGCAACCTACAGAATGGGAGAAAATTTTTGCAATCTACTCATCTGACAAAAAGCTAATATTCAGAATCTACAATGAACTCCAACAAATTTACAAGAAAAAAACAAACAACCCCATCAAGAAGTGGGCAAAGGATATGAACAGACACTTCTCAAAAGAAGACATTTATGCAGCCAAAAGACACATGAAAAAATGCTCACCATCACTGGCCATCAGAGAAATGCAAATCAAAACCACAATGAGATACCATCTCACACCAGTTAGAATGGCGATCATTAAAAAGTCAGGCAACAACAGGTGCTGGAGAGGATGTGGAGAAATAGGATCACTTTTTCACTGTTGGTGGGACTGTAAACTAGTTCAACCATTGTGGAAGACAGTGTGGCCATTCCTCAGGGATATAGAACTAGAAATACCATTTGACCCAGCCATCCCATTACTGGGTATATACCCAAAGAATTATAAATCATGCTGCTATAAAGACATATGCACACATATGTTTATTGTGGCACTATTCACAATAGCAAAGACTTGGAACCAACCCAAATGTCCACCAATGATAGACTGGATTAAGAAAATGTGGCACATATACACCATGGAATACTGTGCAGCCATAAAAAATGATGAGTTCATGTCCTTTGTACGGACATGGATGAAGCTGGAAACCATCATTCTCAGCAAACTATCGCAAGGACAGAAAACCAAACACTGCATGTTCTCACTCATAGGTGGGAATTGAACAATGAGAACACTCGGACACAGGAAAGGGAACATCACACACCAGGGCCTGTCAGGGAGTGGGGGGCAGGGGGAGGGATAGCATTAGGAGATATACCTAATGTAAATGACGAGTTAATGGGTGCAGCACACCAACATGGCACATGTATACATATGTAACAAACCTGCACGTTGTGCACATGTACCCTAGAACTTAAAGTATAATAAACAAAAAAGAAAGAAAGATACGTCATCTCCTGACCTGCTGAAGGGCTGAGAGGGAGTGAGGGGAATCTAGGGAGTCTGAGTGAAGAAGAATGATGAGAAACATCTATTCTGTACCACCTGCAATAGTTTGAACATGGCTTGGTTTCTAGTCCTCTTTAGTTTTTTTTAGGAGATTGCAACTAATTATCACCTTGAAGAATTAGATTTGCACCTCCCCTCCTAGGCAAGAATTGAATGCAAAGTGTTCTTATGTGAGATCTGAAGATCACTAAAGAGTGAGAGCGAAAATGAGTTTCTGCCCTCTGATTCTACCTGACTTCCCCTGACCCTCAGGACTTGGCAGATTGCTTTCCTTCCTGGCCCGAATGGCATTAGGAATGACTGATGAAATTACTTCAACCATAAAGCTTAGGTTATTGCCACTGCTGTCATCACCACCACCATCAAAACAGATGAAATATCCCCCAACCAGCATACACACACATTTACACACATACTTGGAGGAGTCCACAGAACCACATACTGACTTCACTGGACCACTGGAACCCTCATTTCTTCCACAGCTGCCTAGGGAACCCAGGAAACACAACCTGCAGCTACAGGACAGTTAACCTATGAGCTTGCCTTTTACCAGTAGGAAAAATGGACAAAAAAGAACCAGTAATTCACTAGCCTTCCTTCCCTACTTACTTCAGCATCCAATAGATCAATGCAATGGACTTTCACAGTTTCTCTGGAAACAACTCACAACTTACAGCTATCAACTGTACTGCCTCTTGAAGCTGTGGTCTGAATGGTAGCAAACCAATGGGTATTTTCTCTCCTTCCATTATAGTCTCTCTTTCTTTTATCATTGATGTTTACTTCCAGGGATTGTTTTCTCATCTACCCTATTAAACCTTCAGGTTATAAGTTTTTGCCTCAGAAACTTTTCCTTCTTTCCTTCCCTCCGTCCCTCCCCTCCCCCTTCCCTCTCTCCCCTTCCCCCTCCCTCCCTCTCTCCCCTTTCCCCCACCCTCCCTTCCCTCCGTCCCTCCCTCCCTTCCTCCCTTCCTTCGTTCCTTCTTGCTTGCTTTTGACAGCAGTGTCCAAAATTTATTCTATCAGAGATTTATTTATATTTATGCAAACACTTCACGTTTGCAGATAAGTTTCAGCAGAAATGTATCTTGACACAGTATGAAAAAGTTAATTTGAGGGTTCAACTTCATTTTCTTCCTTTCTAGTTAAAATAGAGTTTATGTGAAGAAAGGAGCCATTGACTGAAACATTCTGGTCAAAACCTGTTGATAGACCTCTCTACTTTCTCTTCAGAATAAGTAGCAGCTATGGTGGATAGTATTACTTGTAGAAAGAAAAAACATATTTTAGAGTGAAAAAAGAAGATTCAACTCACACAAAGAATGGGAAAAATACTGAGTTAAATAAAACAAATTCTTTTTACAAGTCAAAGGAAATTTTTTTTCTTCTGCCGTCAATAAAACCATTGTGCTGTTATATACATTGTTTTACTGTGTGTTTTATTTGCCTGATGTTATCTTTCTTGTTCATCTGGTATTAACCCCATACTAATTGCCTTCTATAGCAAGGGTCCCCAACCCTTAGGCTGCAAGACTGAAAATGGTCCGTGGCTTGTTAGAAACCGGGTCACACAGCAAGAGATGAGGGGTGGGCAAGGGAGCATTACTGCCTGAGCTCTACTTCCTGTCAGATCAGCTGTGGCATTAGATTCTCATAGAAGCACAAACCCTATTATGAACTGTGCATGCCTGGGATCTAGGTTGTGTGCTCCTTATGAGCCAAAAAGTTTGGGGACCATGGACTGCTGTTCTATAGGATAGGAATTACAGCATACTGAAACATCCCCCTATAATTACAGAATAAACTGACTTACACCGTTCACCACATTTATTTTTGTCTTCGATTTCTAATTTTATTTTTAAACAAAAACGTATGAAAAAGCTCAACATCACTGATCTGTAGAGAAATACAAATCCAAACCCCAGTGAGGTACCATCTAACACCAGTCAGAAAGACTATCATATAAAAGTCAAAAAATAACAGATGCTGGCAAGGTTGTGGAGGAAAAAAGACCACTTATTCACTGTTGGTGGGAGTGTAAATTAGTTCAGTCATTGTGGAAGACAGTGTGGTGATTCCTCAAAGACCTAAAGATAGAAATACCATTTGACCTAGCAATCCTATTACTGGGTATATGCCCAAAGGAATATAAATCATACTATCATAAAGTCACATGCACATGTACGTTTACTGCATCACTATTCACGATAGCAAAGACATGGAATCAAACTAAATGATAGACTGGATAAAGAAAATAAAGACTGGATAAAGAAAATGTGGTCCATACACATCATGGAATAATATGCAGCCATAAAAAAGAGTGGGATCACATCCTTTGCAGGCCATTACCCTTAGCAAACTAACACAGGAACAGAGAACCAAATACTGCATGTTCTCACTTACAAGTGCAAACTAACACAGGAACAGAGAACCAAATACTGCATGTTCTCACTTACAAGTGCAAACTAACACAAGAACAGAAAACAAAATACTGCATATTCTCACTTACAAGTGAGAACTAAATCATGAGAACACGTGGACATGTAGAGGGGAACAACACATACCGTGGCCTTTCGGAGGGTGGAGGGTGAGAGGAGGGAGAGATCAGGAAACATAACTAATGGATACTAGGCTTAATACCTGGGTGATTAAATAATTTGTACAACAAAGCCCTATGACACAAATTTACCTATGTAACAAACCCACACTTGTAACCCTGAACTTAAAATAAAATTTAAAAAAATAATAAAAAGCTGGAATTGGAAAGAAAAGCAACAACAACAACAAAAGCCTAGTGGTTTAAAAATGTGCTGACACAGTTCTTCACGATTCCAAAATACATGGTATTTCTTTAAAAATAGAAGTAATACTCTAGTGCTTTTACTAATCCATTTAAAATCTGCTTAAGCCCATTTCTTACTGTATTTTAAGCATTTTTTTGTGACAAGAAATTAGTGAACACAATTCAGAATAATTACAGCCATATGAAATACAATTCACAATAACAATCAGATGTGGTTTTCTAGGGTCCAGGACAACACATTCTTCTTCCAGTCTTGGCCTGGCCAATATTAAATCAATGTGAAGCTGTCATTGGAAATATGTGATGTAGTTAGAACAATGCAAATTCATTCATAATACCATTTTATTTATTTCTCAGTAGTCATCAGTTCTTGGCTTTATCTAGTTAGTACATTTTAAGTTTTATTGTATTGATATATTTTCAGTCTGTTTTCTGATAAGGTATATATCCTGATATAGTTGTCTATATAATTATAGACACAGATCTGTATCACACCTATATATTTACTGATATAGAATATATATGTTCTCTTACATGTAAATTTTTCTTAATGATTTCTTTCCAAAAATTTTAAAGTTTTTTCTGTCATTAGAGTATAAGTGAGATATTAATCCATGTCAGTTTAATTTCAAGGAGGCTGGTTTTTAAGAAAGATGAATTGGATGATTATTAAAATAAAAAAACTATAGAACTTGCAAAAGGCAAGATATTATTGTTTTCTGTGTATACACAGATGATGAAAGTCTAATGAAAGACTTGTGAAATTTCATAGCTGAAAAGGACTTTAGATACCATTCTAATATAGATCATTTTATTTTATATAAAAGATATTGAGGGCTAGAAATGTGAGTAGGAGTCAGGTTTAGATCCAGGGTTGCTAGTTCATTTTTCCTAGTTATTGCTTTGATCAAGTTCATATGCATGCATTTTTATTGTCAAAAGTTAAAAATAAGATGAGAAAGAGCAAGAGGCTTATTTCACAGAAACTGAGAAATTTGATTTGTTCTTGGTGGACAGCCACAATTAGAGTAAGTTGAAGTAAACAACATTTTTTTGTGTGTCAGCATGTATTACAAACATTTAAATAAAACGCAAGCTCAAGCGGGAAGATAGAACAGAGGAATTTTTGGAAGTGTGGAGGAGTAAACAGTGCTTCTGGCTGACACCGAAAATAGGCCTCACATCTATTCTGCACTAATGATTATTTGGTAACTGAGTAAAAACATTTTCAGCTATTAGGTAATATCAGTATATATCCGTTTATCAGGCAAGATTATTGCTCAATGCTAAAGCCAAGAAACTCTAGGTTTTGAAGGTGTTTGGACTGTGTAAGGAACTTTTGGACAATATAATTTAAGCTGTTTGTTCAAGTACCTTCTCCTATTTTTTTCCACAGCATTAGTTTCCAGAAGTAAGTTAAAGAGCAAGTGATAAGGTCAAAGCTTAGTGAAAAGCTTTGCAGGGTGTTTCATATTATTTTCATGAGCACTGCCATGTAATTCCCTTGAGTGGGTGCTTTGCAAATTTCGGATACTTCTCTTAACTTTTTAAAGTCCCTTAATCAAACTGTGGCCATCTCTGTCTGGCATGGGCAAATTTATTTTCTCCTGGCCATGAAGCTGAGGAAGCTTCTAACATTTTATCCTAATTTAAAACCCATGCAGTATACACTGTGACTATTGCCCAGTTTGAGAGCTGTCTAAATGCAGAGTGGATAGTGACACACATCCTGAAAAATGTAGGCAAAGGAATAATCTTAACAATTGGCTCCTCACTCATTCCTCAGGGTCCAGAGCATACTCTTCCTGTGAGCTAAGCTATCCAAGTGGCAATTTGTTTTGAAATCTATCCATCCTACAAAATGGATGAATGGAAATGATTAGTTGAATTTGTTTAGAAAACACATTTAAAACCATTGCTTTGTGCTAGCTGGGTCAACAAAGCCATATAATATTGCCATGGTTGTTCCTCTCTTTTCACCTGAGACTGTTCTCAATTTCCTCCCCAGCAAGAGAACTCTAACATGGCACCAATCCTTGAAATGACAGTTATTTATTCACTTTTTGGCACTAACCCTTTAGGAGAGAAGACTTTGTCTAGTCAGGCCATTTGCAGCTCTACACAAATTTTTCTGTTGATGATAAAGTAAAATTGTCTTCAATAAATGTCTAAATGTCAGTAAAATTTCAAATAGCAGATTACTGACTCTATTTTCACATAGAGCATTAGACAGTATCCATTTTTGCCTAAGTCGTGGCAAAACTAATTTTGTTCCCCTCATTTATTTAAACGACCATGGGTGGTGGTATCAAGCTGACCAACTGCATGCTTGTCCTTCAGTTTTCACACAGAGCAGCTGTTGTTAGTTACTGCATACTCAATAAACTGGTGCAGAGGGTGACTCTACTTTTAAAATCCAGACTCACAGGATAGCCTGAAATCAAACATTATATGTTCTTTTTTCCCAGAATGCCAGCACCCTGGTGGGAAAATGTTTAAATCACTGTATAAATTCAGAAGCTATAATTATTTCCTAATCAAGAGCAAAAAGTGGGAACTGAATGTAGTATCTGTGTTCTTTTTGTTAGAGAGTAAATATTCACCAAATTTAAACCCCAAGAACATTTGTCAGCCTAGCAACTATCCTCAATTCCTGGCACAAACCAATAGGGAGGTTGATTGATCAAAAATAGGACCCACAATACTGATTGCTGAGAGATCTCAAAATAGAGATATGAAATGATAAAATCCTACTGTGTTCTCAGAAGGCCGATGAAAAATTCGCTGGCCTGAAACCTTATAAACACTGCATATTTTAGCACCACTATCCTTTGAATACTTCAGAGGGAGCCTCTTTTCTGAACTCAACACCTTTGAAATAATTCCTTTAACTGAGAGCAGTTAAACCTAGGAGGATATTTAATGCCCAGAATAGCTACTGAAATGTCTGGCACTGGTAGGGAATTGGAGGATCAAATAACTTATATATTTCTTATAGAAAAGAAAATAAATAACACTTTAAATTTAAGTGGGATTTATTTGAACTGATAATACATTTAGACCTATATGTAAAGCAAGGTCTTAATCATTTCATGCAGAAGCACTAGCAATAAATGTTTTGAGTAAAGACCATATCCTTTCCTTAGGCCTTCTAGTTTGATGTTCTTGCTGTTCATGTTTTAGTTAGATATAAAAGAGCTAATAATATACAGGGATATCTGAATGTGGTTGATATGTAGGTTTGTGAGAAAAAAAGATGTTCATATATTGACTTTTATCAGTACTAAAATAACATAATTACTGAAGTAAATAATATATCAGTTGCCTCTTATATGCTATATGATAGGGATTATTATTTCCATTCTACAAAGGAAGTTGAAGAAACTGAATCTGTGGCCCAAGGCCATAGTGGTAGTTAAGCAGAGGAGGCAGAATTTGAACCAGTACATGTAATGATTCCAGTACACTGAAAATACTGCATTGCAAAATAAGCTCACTGATTTATGCTTTGTTAGCAAAATGAAACACGAATCAGCCATTCCCGGTGGATACTCATATACACAGGCCTCTAGGTTCAACACCAATACTTCCCTACTGTTCTTTTGCTGAGGAATTGTGTTCGTATTCTGAGCTTTTTTTTTGTCTGTTAAAGTAGTACATAACCTTCACTAAGTCCTCCTTGCACTAGTAATGTTCTCCATTTGCTGCCTATTAACTGTGAAAAAATCTACTAATCACACTATTTCACTGAAGATTCTTTTCATTTGTCCTCTCTCACATATTTCCTACTGCACTGAAATATTCAACAAATTTGTCTTTTGGCATTAAATTTTAATTTCTTACATTTCTGATTGTGACCTCTTTTCTACACACATCATTGTGTAACCCTTCTGATCCCTATTTTTGGTACCTTTATTTATCAGTTTCTAGCTGGCTGTAGTTCTAGATGGCCAACACATCTCCAAATATGTATTTCCTAGTTTGTTCTGGAGTGGTGTGACCTTGATGTTAGCTTCTGAGCTTTTCCAGTCACTGGTACTTTCTAAAACTCTATGATGTTTACATAAACGTACCTACTAGCTATCTTAAAAGCCAATTATCTTGAGTTTATTTCCATCCTACTGTCAGGTAAAAGAGGCAGGTTGTTTTATTCTTGTTGGCTTTTATATCTCCAGGTGCTTTGGAGAGATAGGAAGCACTAAAGAAGGTGAGATGCTAAATTCAACAAACTCAAAACCTGTGAATTTATCAAGAGACATGAAGCTTTCAGGATATGATATAGAGACTCTCAGAGAGGTTTCTTGGTAAACCAGTCTTTTATTTTTGTCACTGTAGTTAGTTAGCATAAATGTTATTCCAAGCATCTTTTTCTCCTTTCCCTTCTGGCTCTTTAGCTATGCTGTGAAACAAACTGGATATCGAAAGATAAAAAATTAAATGTAATAAAGAAAGGAAATTAACATATTTGTTGCATGACTTATGGAAAGCTTCTTAGTGCCTTAGAAATGCTGCATTATCCGGTGTATCACCTGAGGTCAGGAGTTCGAGACCAGCCTGGCCAACATGGTGAAACTCCGTCTCTACAAAAATACAAAAATTAGCCGGGCATGATGGCGGGTGCCTGTAATCCTAGCTACTTGGGAGGCTGAGGCAGGAGAATTGCTTGAACTTGGGAGGCAGAGGTTGCAGTGAGCCGAGATCGTGCCATTGCACTCCAGCCTGGGATACAGAGAAAGACTCCATCTCAAAAAAAAAAAAAAAAAAAAAGTTGCCTTATTTAATTTGATATATATAACAATTTTGTGTGTTAAGTTTTATTTTTTCTAATTTTACAAATAGGAAACTAGAGTGAGGAATATTTAAGTAACTTTCACCATGATCACATGAGCAATAAGGGGCAGAACAAAATTTGAATCCAGGACTGAGTGACTTGAAGGTCTGTACTCTTTCACTAGACCACACTTATTTTAAATAGGCAAGTGCATCTTTATAAATTAATTTAAATTTTTATTCTAGTCAGCCAAAGGAGAGAATGAAATCATGTCTTGTGCAGTAAGATGGACGGAACTAGAGGCCAGTTTCTTAAGTAAAATAACTCAGAAATAGAAAGTCAAATACTTCATGCTGTTACTTATAAATGGGAGTTAACAATGGGTACACATGGACACACAGAGTGGAATAAGAGACATTGGAGACTACAAAAGGTGGGAGGGGAGGATGTGGGGGAAGATTGAAAAATCACCTGTTGGGGACAATGTTCACTATTCAGGTGATGAGTACACGAAAAGCCCAGACTTCACTGCTACACAATGTACACATGTAATAAATCTGCACTTCTATTCACTAAATGTATAAAACTAAAAAAGAGGAAATGTTTATCTAAAAAAAACTGACTCATTTTTCTGAATGTATGTTGCTTAACAATATAGTTCTTAAACTTTTTAACTTAGTTTACCTAATTGCAAAAGATACCGTACAAATAAGAGGTTGGGAAACTTAATCTAAATTGTCCACAAATTTAAACTATCCTTAGGGACTCACGTAATAACTTTCAAATTCCTGCAAAATCAGCATTCTACTATGTTTCTCTTTATTTTAATATAAAACTATTTTTAAATTATGTTAATAAAAAGCCACAAAACTAAATGTTCTAACTTGTCACTTTGATTAATGAGCATTATATTATTAGGTTGATTCTAAGGATTTTGTAAAACAGGCTGAATACTCACCATATCTATCTATCTATCTATCTATCTATCTATCTATCTACCTACCTACCTATCTATCTATCTACCTACCTACCTACCTATCTATCTATCTAACAATCAACCAATCACCTATCTATGCTATGGTCTACAATGATCTACATAATTCTGACCCCTAGCTATCCCTCAGACCTAATTTTATCTAAATTTATCTGGACTTAGTCCAGCCACATTAACTTTCTTGCTGTTCTTCAGATATTCTAAGCAAAGTCCCACCTCAGCAACTTTGCATTTAAGTGTTCTCTGCTAGATAGCTAACTCCCTATCTCCGTGGCTAACTCCCTCTTCTCTGTCACATCTCACTTAGTTTTAAATGCTATCTTCTCTGGGAGGTCTGCCCTTGCCTTTTAAAATGGTATCCCCTCATTCACTATCCATCCTCTTTTTGAAAAAATGTCTGGTACTGATCAGTTTAAGAATTCATCAGTTTGCCCTCCTAGAATGCCAGCCAATGAGGTCAGAAACTTTTTTTCACTTTTTATATGATTCAGAGTTGTTAATTGCAGAAACACATAGGTATCACAGAAAGTAATAAATTTATTAAAAGCTGAAACTTTGCTTATGGACTCTCCAAAGGGCAAGATCATTAGACTTGGAGGCTAAGCCACCAGGAACCTCACAGTAGGGATGCTCTAATAAAGATCCCACCTCTGTTGCCAGGGGAGTCAGATAACCACAGTTTATATACTGATCACTTGCTGCTTCGGGAACTCCAACTTCTCAGCTACTGGCAATGACTCCACAGCTAAAACATTTAGAAAAATGTCCCTTTCAGTGTTTTCTTCCTCTAGTTGTTCCTTCTGGACAAAAGTCTTGGGTGAGTTCATCTGTTTAGCAAATTGTAAGTGACATACACGAGCCCTAGATGAAGAGCGTCTAGAAGAGCAAGTTGCAGACTTCTAATTTGAGAAGAGCAGCTCTGACCTAGGAAATCCATCTCCTAAACATAAGGAAGCTCTTCAGAACATGCCGCATAGTAAAAAAATTAAGGCAAATGTCCATGTCACCACTGCATTTTCAGCACCTGAAGCAGTGCCAGACACACTTTAAGCATTTTGTAATAGTTGCTAATTGAATGAATGAATATATCATATTCATGTTTCAGGTAATGTATTTTCTTCACTTTGTTGTCACAATATTTTGAGGGCTGAATTTACATATATTTCTGGTTTCATACAGCAATAGTATTTTCCAGTATTTTGGAGCTCCAAAGTGCCATTAAGAATGGAAAAGCAGTATTTTCCAGATTTCTGTTGTTAACTGCTTATTTAGGTACACTCTTTTGGTGAGTTCAGATGAACTACTCCCTATGATGGCTGAAGTGTGCCTTCATCTGCCAATTGGGTTCTTTCACCAACTCAGGGAAACCTGAGTCAAAGGTCTTTTCAGTGTAGAAAAATGACTACTGATTCCTGTAGTTTATTTTACATCAATATTCTGAGCAGGTCAACAGTTTCCTTTATAAATTCTTTGCTGACACATATGTTTTGATATTCATAATTTTCAGACATTACAATGTTAGTAGAGTACATACACCATAAATTATATAAATTCTCAGTAGGGTCTAGGGAAGTGCCCTGTACTCAAACTAATAACTATCTCTGTAAGGAAACATATAACAATATATCATACTAAGTTTGATAAAGTAAGATAAAAGCTGTAAATAGCCACACATCTGTTTATATCAGGTCTTGTTTCCAAATAAGTTATAAAACTGTTTTGGTTTTTCAGAAGTTTTTGGACTCTGGAATTAATAATGAGATTATAGACCTATAATCTTATCAAATATCAATGACTGAAGACACTTGTTCATTGTTGCTGTGATCAAATTTCCTCATTCAACTTTCAATGTATTTTTAAGGCTCTAATTTTGACATGGACATTACACATATTTACTTTGTTTTGCCTTTTGATTGGGAATGTTCAGCCCAGAAAAATAAGTCAATAAATTTGTATGTATTTTCTATACTGACTTACTTACTTTTTTTTTTTTTTTTTTTTTTTTAGAGAGTCTTGTTCTGTCCTGGGCTGGAGTGCAGTGGTGTGATCTCAGTTCACTGCAATCTCCACCTCTGAGGTTCAAGTGATTCTCCTGCCTCAGTGTCCTGAGTAGCTGGGATTACAGGTGTGCACCACCATGCCCGGCATATTTTTGCATTAGTAGAGAAAGCATTTCACCATGTTGGCGAGGCTGGTCTCAAACCCCTGACTTCAAGTGATCCACCCACCTTGGCCTCCCAAAGTGCTGGGATTAAAGGCATGAGCCACCACACCCAGGCTATACTTACTTTACTCTTCATAAATGTAAAACTCATGTCTTACTAAAGCTTCCAACTACATTCCACAATTTCCAGATTGACTATTTCTGTTGTACTTTACTAGCTCCTCATGAATGCCTAATTTAAAACATCAGCACATACATTTCTTCATATCTACTCAGATTCTTACATTGCTATAATCTACTATTTTAAGATATTTGAATTTCTGTTTTTTCAATACTGACCAATGTATACAGTTGACACATAATTTAAAGAGATTATTTTAAAAATAGCATTCCTCAAATAAGGTAATTTTTAAAGTGGAAGGATGAACAGTAAACCATTCTTGTGCCTGATCACTGCCCATCCAGCCAGAATCTACTCAAACAACAGTGATAGTGTTCTGGACATATGTTTATAGGATAATATTATTTGACAAGAATTGCACATCACACATAGTCATTAATGAAGATTTTCTTTAAAATACATATGAATATCCAATTTTAATAGATAGAGATTGGAAACATCCCTGGACCTCATCACTCAAATTGTACTCTTTATTTACAGCAAGTTTTGACAAAATGTATTGAACAATGTTCTCTCCTGTTTTCTGATATCTGTAAAGTATAGTTCTGTATTCACAGGATACCAATTTAATTTCCATGATAGACTTTGCATCTAATATTTTTAAACTATCAATAGTGCAACAGATATTATAATTTTTCCTACACTAAGTCCTAGCTTTCACACTGGGAAAAGCTAATTTAAAAGGCTCCCAAGATAATGTTGGTGGCTAAATGAGATTTCTAGCTTTACTTACACTTTTACTAATATTAATGTTTTATAATTAAAAATTAATAGCTTTTTCGTAGATTTCAGAAATTTTGTAAGTAATATTTTTAGAAGGAGATGGATTCATAGCATTAAAAAAAAACTTTTGCCAAAATTCTCAAATAACTGTTCTTCAGGAATAATGTACTATTTGACAATAGTTATTGAAGAGTAGAGGGAAAGACATTAAAGGGAATTTTTCCTTAATTCTACCACCATGCTCTACAATATTCATGAATTCAGATTATCCAACTGTCTTAGTCTATTTAGCGTTTCTATAAAGGAATAACTGAGGTTGAGTAATTTATAGAGAAGGGATTTACTAGGCCTACAGCTTTGCGGGCTGTACAAGAAGCACGGCACCAGCATCTGCTTCTGATGAAGGCTGCAGGCTGCTTCCACTTGTGGTAGCAGGAAAGGGAGAGCTGGGATGTGCAGAGTTCACATGAGAGAGGATGTAAGAAGCGGGGGGAGGTGGCAGATTCTTTTTAAAAATCAACTTTCTTGGGAACTAATAAAAAGAGAACTCATTACTGCAAGGATGGCACCAAGCCGTTCATGAGGGAATGGCTGTCCCCATGAGCCGAAACACCTCCCATTAGGTCCCACCTTCAACATTGAGGACCAAAGTTTAACATGAAGTTTGCGGGGACAAACTCCATGGTATCGCACTTACACAGGCCAAAATATCCTATCGCTAATACCATCCATTGTCCTGAACAAAAATATGTAAAAAGCATAGAAAGATACAAAACACACTAAAGGTTTTTGTTGTCTTGATTGAAGGAGGCCCCTCAACACTAATAATTAGAATTGTCCCTTTGTTCCCGAGAATTTTGTGCACTCCACTGCTGAGCAACACTGAAAACTTGAAGAGTGCTAAAAAGTTCTGGCAGGCTGGACAAATGTGCCTTTCTTTTGTAAAGTGAGAGAAGAGTAATTTTGAAAAGAGAAAGGGAAATGGAAAATGAACAAGAGACCTGGACTGTAGCTATATCTTTTAGGAAGGAGTAAAAATGGAAATTAGAATCCACTGATTAATTATCTTAATATTTATGGCTATGTTGTTCTTTGAAAAGTTTTAGTGTAACCCATAGTCTGTGTACCCTATTTTAAGACTATTTATCCTTCTTCTAACTCCATCTCTTCTCACACCACACTGGAGTCTATTCTTAAGTGCCCTAATTTGAGAATCCTGGATTTATAGTTTTGGTATTCATGAAGTTTATTTTTGGACTATCTAGAAGGGCTTGTTAGGTGTGTGTAATTCATACACATGGGGTCACACTCTTTTTAAAATTTAAAATAAAATGAAATGGATCAAGACTCCAAACTGTGGGTTTATAAAACCCTGGCTCCTTCTTGGCCTGATACCCTCTTCCCACTCCTACGTAGTTATTCCCTTGCCTCTCTTCAAAGGCAAATCAAATCCTACAAGAGTCCTTCTTCCCTTCTCAGACTGTTGCTGGCGATCTACCATGTTGTTGAGGCTTTTTTTTCCCCCATGAGTCTACCGGGTTGTCCCAAGAAGCTAAAAATTCCCCAACTTTAATCATTGTAACTCAACTATCTCTTTATCCTTCATTCTAGCTATGAGGATGGGCATCTGTCACATTTGACATTCAAAAAGACCGTCTATAAATTTTCCTAAAGAAAAAGAGTTGTCTTTTGAAATGGAGTTCTTACATAAACATATTCTCTAAACCTGATGCTCAAAAGTCATCTTCATATTGTTTTCCTTTATGTCTCTTGAGTCATCATATTTTGTTTTATTAACTGAAATGATACAGATCCTATTTTCCAGAGCATCTTCCTTTCTTGCTATATTTTAAATAATGTCTTTTTTATATGGATTATTTTTATAAATATTCTAAAAATTTAACCATACAAAAGCCCATAGCAAAGGGCTTTTTTTTCCTCCTTGATGAATATTGTGATGTTCAGAACATTTAGTTTTATTTTCCATGGAAATTGTACACTGGCTAGTGAGTTTAATTGCATATCCTTTAGTCTCAAAGATTTTTTTCCCCAATTTTAAACAATTAAAAACTAAAATGATAGTTTGGTTATTTCTGAATACATTTAAAGACCCATTATAGGAAGTAAATATTGGAACATAATAATTATTTTAATTAGCTATGAAATATAGAGGGTCTAAATCCAAATATATATTATATACACACACACACATATATAATTAAAGCCTGCACATTTAATATGTTAATTACCATCTAATAGTGTTGCTTATTAACATTTGATTTTAAATACTTTTCTGGTGAGTATTTCAACACTCACTCCTTGTAACTTAGGAGATAATTTTAAAATTACCAACACCTGAGCCCAGCCCTCAGCGATTCTGAATTAGTTGGTGTTAGATGGGTCCTAGTGTTTGCTTTCTCGTTTTTTTTTTTGTCTTGTATCTAACATGCCATATAGTTGAAAAAAACAATTGTAAAGTGAAGTTAATGTTTCCATTTTACTTCCCAATATGGTAACGTCTAAATTACTTACTTAACTTTCAAATTCTAAATTCTTTACTTAACTATTATTAGTGTAATATTCCATTTTCATGCTGCTGATAAAGACATACCCAAGACTAGGCAATTTACAAAAGAGAGACGTTTAATTGAACTTACGGATCCACATGGCTGGGGAAGCCTCACAATCATGGCAGAAGGCAAGGAGGAGCAAGTCACATCTTATGTGGATGGCGGCAGGCAATAAATGAGAGCTTGTGTAGGGAAACTCCCATTTTAAAGTCGTCAGATCTCGTGAGACTCATTCACTATCCAGAGAACAGTGCAGGAAAGACCTGCCCCCATAATTCAATCACCTCCCACCTGGCCCTCTGATAACACATGGAAATTGTAGGGGTTATAATTCAAGATGAGATTTGGGTGTGGACACAGGCAAACGCTATCAACTAGTTTCTAGGATAACAACAATCTCATCCTTCCTCATCCCATCTTTAACTCATGTTCCAGTATGTGCACTTATGATCTGAATCTTACATAAAAATTGCTAAGTGGAAAATTCCAACTTGCTTCAAGGAAATATTAGATGCAACTAAATATTGATAAATTCCAAACTATGGAATATATAATATATATTGCCTCTGAATAATACTGAAGCATGGCATTTCTGTCTCTTTTAACAAAGAACAAATCTTAGAAAGGAGAGAAAAAAAAGACAAAAAAAAACCAGCACCACTCTTACCCTAACATGATGTTGCGAGGAGAAGAAAATAATAGGTATGGTTTTTAAAAAAATTGGTCAGTCATCTAAAATAGTGTTTTCTATTCATAAACAGTGAAGTAGAATTATAGCTCCGCCCAAATTATTCGCAACGCCATGCCTTGTCATTCCATCTCATATCAAACTCTAAATGTTAAATCCCTTCTTTTTATTTCTAGAGGGAATTTGAACTCTAAGGTTTAAATCCCTCCTAGTACTGAAAAGACATTGGATTGAACTTTTTGGGAGATAATGCCCTGTGTGAACCCTAAAACCAGAAACTAGGTGCCCTCTGCCAGCAATTTGAAAAGGAAGACATCAGAACTAAAATGCCATACAAGTTGCTGCAGACTGTGAGGACATAATAAAACATAAGAACAGTTTTGGAAGGGATAACAGTGAAATTATCGCAGAATTGAGCAGTAGTATTAAAACTAGCCTATAGCAATATTTTTGTGATATATTTTCTTAAATATTAGCTATAAATTATTACATCTAAACTTAAATGATGTTCTATCATACACATCTGGGAATTTGCATCTGTTATACAACTCTTTCGAGAATCATAGCTATTCATATAAGTTGTTCTAGTTAATTAACTTTAATTTCTGTAGAATTATTTATTTATTGATGCAATGCACATAAACTGATAGATGTGTATACATGGGAGTTTGTGACAGTATTTTATCTACGTTTGTGGATGTCTTATTTTTACATAATAAAAAGCTAAAAGTAAAATGCAATATATACAATGTTCCCATAGATGATTAAAAGAAAAAACATATATCCTTTTAAAAATTAGAAATAATGAACAATTCCTGAAACCACATTAACCAAAATTGA
This sequence comes from Homo sapiens, assembly GCF_000001405.40. NCBI lineage: Eukaryota > Metazoa > Chordata > Mammalia > Primates > Hominidae > Homo > Homo sapiens. Next base: position 89,390,114 of record NC_000007.14, on the reverse strand, counting down.
ATCAGGAGAAACAAAAAGACTAAATAGTCCTAAAATTATTAACAAAATTGAAACAGCAATTGGTAATTCTTCTGTAGGGGAAAATTTCAGACTGAGATGGTTTTTAGAGTGAGTTCAATATATAGTAACATAATGTAATACATATGTCAAAATATACATAAGCTATTCCAGGAAAAAATAAACAAAAACCCCTCCTAATTTATTTTATGGGATATTTTTATCTTTAACACCAAACTCAAAGCCAAATGAGAAAAGACTAATAAAGACTGTTTTTATTATACATACATAATATATATGTAAGAATATACATAAAAATTATTTAAAGATTAACAAGTAATATACAAAAGTATACTACAATATTATGACTTAAGTCTTATTCTAGCATTATAATGCTGTCTACAGAACATAAAAATGGAAGTCACAATAACAGTCTAAATAACACATTAATAGAGTTTTAAAATATTCTTTTTTAATAAAAATATGAAGTAAATAAGTCAAATAAAAAATTTTAATCTGAAAAAGAATACCCCCAGGAAAACTCCTACAACAAATATAACTTCAGTGGTGAATTTGTAAATGCTATTGTTAAAATAAGGAGAAAGATAAAACTGACTTATGGTTTTCATTCAACAACTTATTAGAGGTATTCACCATCATATTAAGACAAAAGAATACACAAGAAGAGACAAAGTACATCTGTGTTTGAAATAGAAAATAAAACTCATTTTTCAGTCTGTATTTTAAAAACCTAATTTAACCTCTATAAAAAAATTTAGGCCCCAGCATTTTGGGGGGCAGAGGCAGGCGGATCACCTGAGGTTGGGAGTTTGAGACCAGCCTGACCAACATGGAGAAACCCCGTCTCTACTAAAAACACAAAATTAGCTGGACGTGGTGGCGCATGCCTGTAATCCCAGCTACTTGGGAGGCTGAGGCAAGAGAATCGCTTGAACCGGGGAGGCAGAGGTTGCTGTGAGCAGAGATCGCGCCATTTCACTCCAGCCTGGGCAACAAGAGTGAAACTCCATCTCAAAAATAAATAAATAAATAAAAATTATCATTTACAACAGCAACAAATACAAAATGAACTTAAGAAACACACTAGCAAAATGTATGCAAGAATTGTATATACAAAATTACAAATATTCTTAAAGGCAATTAAATAAGACCTACACAACTAAAGAGATAAACAATATTTGTGGAAAAGAAGTCTCAATGTAAAAAATTTTCAGTTTCTCCCAAATTGGTATGCTGATTTAACATCCCCCTAAATAGGGTATTTTTTATAGCTGTGCAAGTAAATTTAACCCAGTTCCAAGATACTCTCAGTGAAGAAGACCAGGTGAATAGATTGAGATACAAAATATTGACACATTGTAAAATAATAATTAAGACATTTTGTATAGGAATGGCAAAAAACATACAGACTATAAATTTCATGAGTTAATATGTTTTTAGCACTTATTGTATTCTAATTTTGTTTGAAAGTTTAGTGATACAGCAACAATAGAGCAAATAAAACTCTATTCTTATGGAGATGTGGTATAGCTGAGGGAAAATAAATCAATGAGATGAATAACTAAAACATATAATACATCAGTAGTGATAATTGCTACAGAGAAAAATTATCCAAGAAAGGTACATAGAAAGCTTATCTGTGATTGTGTGAAGGGTAGAGTATAATTATAGGAAAATAAGTAAAGTCCTCATTGGGAAGGTGGCAGTGGAGTCAAAAGCTAATAGAAATGATAAATGACAAGAGACTCTGATGTATTAACAATGGGCATCAGTGGGGAAATGACTATTTAATAAATGGTTCTGAGACAATTTTAACAATATAAAAGGTGGCATCCGTTTTTGATTTTATATAACACTTTAAAAAATGCAATTGAATTAAAGACTTAAATATGAATGACAAAACTTCAAAGTGTAAGGAAACAAATATAGAATATATACTTAAATATTAGAATAGAGAAAGAACTAAAAAATTAGACCTACAAAATATCAAACTCTAAAACAGATCATTCACCAACTTGACTACATTAAAATGATTTGAAAATACCGTAAGCCACAAACTTGGAGAATATATTTTAAAATGTTTTTTATTGAAGGAGAATTAGTATTCAAAATACATAAAAATAACATACAAATTAATAAGAAATCAACATTAATAGAAGCAATTTAATAAGAAAAGGACCTTGTTTTTACCCACTAAAAGGTTATGAACTGAGGAGTGATGCGGACTGAAGCGTGCTTTACAAGAACTTGCTGGTTGGTTGCTTTTTTGAGCACTGATTCCAGGAGAGTCAGAGTGGCATCAGTTCAATTTCTTGGGAAATGTCTAACACTGGATATGCCAAGCAGAGTTAGGACAACGAAAAATGTCCCATTAGGCTTTGCTTTGATATCTCTTTTTAAAAGAGATCTCTCTTACTGAAAGAGGAAGACCAATCTGCGGGAATCACTTATTTCAGGTGCTATAACCAACAATAATGTCCTTCACTTGTTTCAAAAAGGTCCAGGGACTGCAGGTGAGACCGGGAATAGCAACGGATATAATTAGGAAATAAACTGCACATATTCTAGAAAAGTACACATTCGATTGGTTGTTGTGCTATCATATTATGCAAAAACCTTAAGACTAATATAGGGCATTAACCCACAGTGAAGAGGACAGTATGTGTTTAGGACACCCATTTTGTTTCTAATGGGTATACTGCAGGGGATAAAATAGTTACAATCAAGGATAAATATAATAATGTGATTCAATAGAGGGTATTTTACTGTTCTTAATGTATGCATTCTTTTCCTGATCCATATACTAGCAAACCACGTCAGAATGGAGTGCAGTAATATTTTCTCTTTAAAAACAAAACCTTTTGAATCAATGTGAAATCAACATTTAGGTGAGAAACTACAGTGCGATGCTGATATTTTGGCCAGTCACTACTGCTGATTAGTGATGTTATAAGGCTTATTTTAAAAATAGCTTCTCAGGCTTTCTCTACAGCCTAATCTTTACAAATCACTGATGATTATGTTTCCCTGAAATTCCCTGATTGCTGTCTGAGCTTCCTTTCTTCAACCATAGCCCATCCAACTTTTACTACAGTTTAAGGCTCTATTCATTTCCATTGTCTTTATAATATTGTGTATTTACGTGAGTTTGTGTGTGTGTGTTTGTGTGTGTGAGAAAGAGAAATTGTCATCTATTATACATGCTTTACTTGTAAACACACAGCTTCTTTCTATTTTAAACGTAATTCTTACTGGTTGAGAATTTATCTTCCTGCTTATTTTTTAAATAATAAGTATTCATATTTCCCCTTATAAGATTAGAATTTCTCTCAATATCTTTTGCGTGAAAAGATATGAACTCCATCCCTATGTAGTCCAAACAAAGGCAAAAGGAGCAGTGATGATACAAGTCAGGAAGGGAATTTTCTGTGAAGGATGAACTAAAAATAAGAATGAGAACCCTCTCTTAAATCATGAAAATGTTCTATATCTTGCTTTGGGTAGTGGCCACATGGGTGTATATGATTGTAAAACTCCTTGAGATAAACAGTTAATACCTGTACATTCTGATGAAGGTAAATTCTACTTTAATAAACAATAAATATTAGTTATTTCCCCTGATCATCCTTCTGCTTCTCAATCCCTGTCTATTTAGATCACATAATCACTTCTTCAGTGTCTCTGCTATTTTAAACACATCACTGGTCTCTGTCTCCTTCAGATACACGTTTAATACGTGGCAGGTACAAAAAATAATAAGTGGATAATTTAAAAGTTATTATCAGGTACCAAAGTTATGCTAAAAAATCAAGGGTTAGTATTGAATCTTCAAAAAACATTTCTTAAAATGAATGCCATTGCATATGGAAATAAAAATCAGCAGAGGAGAAATCATTTTGTATCAATTGTATGGGAATGTCTGAAGAATCACCTTGTTATCTACAAAAGGCTATATAAACATTGCCAATCTCTGTTAGAAATGCCTAATTTTGTTGGTGGCCAATGAGAGAGGAGGTCCTCAAGAAGTTTCCTCAAATTCTATTTATGTCTGTATCTATAGATTTGTGTTTTTTTCTGTGTCTATATCTATATAAAAGATTTATAAATAATAATAGACACTTCAGAGTTCTAAAAAAAATAGGCATTAAATGTTATGGTATAAAGATAGGAATGAGTGGCTGAGATAGACCAGAAGTCAAGGCCATTGGAGAACAGGAGGACAAGGAACTGGAAGACCAAGTTATTGGAAATATTTTCTAAAAATGTGGAAAAGATTTGGAGAAAAGGGTGCAAGTATCTTTGATGTTAGAGGGTTTGGATTCTAAAGAAGTGGTTATTCTTTGGATCTCATGACACTTACAATTTTTCCAGATGAATAAATAAAACTATTCATAGCAATGTATGTCTGCTAGGAACAGCTAACTGTGACAAATCATCACATTATAATGAGTGACAGCTAAAGTCACCAAGGAATGAATTGTCAAAGTTTTGTAGGAAATTGTGCCAAAGTGGGTAGTCAGTGTGAGAGTTACGGGATGATAGAGATAAAATGAGATGAAAAGAAATGAGAAGCAAGATAGACATCTATCTTTGGGCTCAGTGAGACAGAATATGTGAAAGATAAAACAGCTTCCATGTGAAAATTTTTTTTTCAGTGGGTAGTGCCTCAGAAGAAAATCAGGTTACAGTTAAAAAAAGTTACTGTGAAAATCATTCAGAAAAAAAAAATGTCAGAGAAACATAGCATTATGCTGATTATATCCTCCGAGTACTAAGGGCACAGTAGAAGCATTAGAAATCTCAGGAGGGGTATGGAATAAAAGCAGATAAGGTAATACTGGAGCCCTATTGGGAAGAGAATCTGGAAGGGAATGATGTGGGAATTTGGGACGTCTTGTGGTGCCATGATATTTGTCAAGAAAATTGTGGTGATAAGACTGAGTTTGGGAGAACATTTGATACTGACAATGTTCTAAGAGGCAGGATATAAACAGATGATCAAGCAATCACAAAGATCATATTATCAAATCAGATTCACATGAATAAGGTAAGGTAATGTCAGAATTTTGATTTGCTACATAATTCAAGGATACATTCTATCAAGACACACAAGCAAAGCAAAGGGAGGTTTGAGACATCAAGGATAGCCTCCCAAATCTTTGTCATATCAGGCCTATACTCTGGGCCAGAATATTACATTTAGTCTCTATTGAACTATGTGAGCTAACTCATGGAGTAAGGAGTGTTTAAGTTATAAGACATATTCATTTTATAGTTAGATAGCTACACAGCTTATATGACATTGTATTAGTCCATTTTCATGCTGCTGATAAAAACATACCCAAGACTGGCCAATTTACAAAAGAAAGAGGTTTATTGGACTTATAGTTCCACATAGCTTGGAAGGCCTCACAATCATGGTGGAAGGCAAGGAGGAGCAAGTCACATCTTACATGGATGGTAGCAGGCAAAGAGAGAGCTTGTACAGAGAAACTCCCAATTTAAAAACCATCAGATCTTGTGAGACCCATTCACTATCACAAGAACAGCACGAGAAACACCTGCACTCATGATTCAATCATCTCCCACTGTGTCCATCCCACAACACATGGGGATTATGGGAGCTACAAGATGAGATTTGGGTGAGGACATAGAGTCAAACCAAATAATTCTGCCCAGCCTCTCCCAAATCTCATATCCTCATATTTCAAAACCAATCATGTCATACCCACAGTCCCCCAAAGTATCAACTCATTTCAGCATTAACTCAAAAGTCCACAGTCCAAAGTCTCATTAGAGACAAGGCAATTCCCTTCCACATATGAGCCTATAAAATTAAAAGCAAGTTAGTTACTTCCTAGATACAATGAGGGTACAGGCATTGGGTAAATACAGCCATTCCAAGTGGGAGAAATTGGGCAAAACAAAGGGGCTACAAGCCCTATGCAAGTCCATAATCCAGTGGGGCTGTCAAATCTTAAAGGTCCAAAATGATCTCCTTTGACTCCAGGTCTCATATCCAGGTCACACTGATGCATGAAGTGGGTTCCCATAGTCTTGCGCAGCTCTACCCCTGTGGCTTTGCAGTGCACAGCCTCCCTCCCAGCTACTTTCTTGGGCTGGCATTGAGTGTCTGCGGCTTTTCCAGGTGCATGGTGTAAGCTGTCAGTAGATCTACCATTCTGGGATCTGGAGAATGGTGGCCCTCTTCTCACAGCTTCACTAGGCGGTGCCCCAGTAGGGACTCTGTGGTGGCTGCCACTTCACATTTCCCTTCTGCACTGACCTAGCAGAGAGTCTCCATGAGGAGCCTGCTCCTACAGCAAACTGCTGCCCAGGCATCCAGGTGTTTCCATATATCCTCTGAAATCTTGTCAGAGGTTCCCAAACCTTAATTCTTGACTTCTGTGCACTTGCAGGCTCAAGACCATGTGGAAGCCTCCAAGGCTTGAGGCTTGCACCCTTTGAAGCCATGACCTGAGCTCTACATTGGCCCCTTTCAGCTACTGGCTGGAGAGGCTGGGACACAGAGCACCAAGTCCCTAGGCTGCACACATCATAGGGACCCTGGGCATGGCCCACAAAAACACTTTTTCCTCCTAGGCCTCTGGGCCTGTGATACGAGGAGCTGCCTCAAAGGTCCCTGACATGCCCTGGAGACATATTCCCCATTGTCTTGGGGATTAACATTCCACTTCTTGTTACTTATGCAAATTTCTGAAGCAGGCTTGGATTTTTGCCTCAGAAAATGGGATTTGCTTTTCTATTGCATTGTCAGGCTGCAAATTTTCCAAACTTTTATGTTCTGTTTTTCTTTTGAAACTCAATGCCTTTAATAGCACCCAAGTCATCTCTTGAATGCTTTGCTGCTTAGAAATTTCTTCCACCAGATACCCTAAATCATCTCTCTCAAGTTCAAAGTTCCACAAATCTCTAGGGCAGGGGCAAAATGTCACCAGTCTCTTTGCTAAAACATAACAAGAGTCACCTTTGCTTCAGTTCCCATCAAGTTTCTCATTTCCATCTGAGACCAACTCAGCCTGGACTTTATTGTCCATTTTGCTAATCTGCATTTTGGGCAAAGCCATTCAGCAAGTCTCTAGGATGTTCCAAACAGTCCCACATTTTCTTGTCTTCTTCTGAGACCTCCAAACTCTTCCAACCTCTGCTTGTTACTCAGTTCCAAAGTCGTTTCTATATTTTCAGGTATCTTATCAAAGGCACTCCACTTCTAGTACCAATTGATTGTATTAGTTTGTTTTCTCACCACTGATAAAGACAAACCTGAGACTGGCTAATTTACAAAAGAAGGAGGTTTATTGGATTTACAGTTTCACATGGCTTGGGAGGCCTCACAATTATAGCAGAAGGCAAGGAGGAGCAAGTTACATCTTACATGGATGGCAGCAGGCAAAGAGAGAGCTTATACAGAGAAGCTCCTGTTTTTAAAACCATCAGATCTCGTGAGACCCATTCACTATCACCAGAACAACACAGGAAAGACCCGCCCTCATGATTCAATCATCTGCCACTGGGTCCCTCCACAACACATGGGGATTACAAGATGAGCTACAAGATGAGATTTGGGTGGGAATACAGAGCCAAACCATATCAGACATTTTCCATGGAGTCATGCCTGCTGAATCCACAGGTTCTATATTTGTTTACTATAAGCAATCTTAATCCAGGATTCTCTTAATAAAACCTTTCTATAGATAAAGGCTCTTCTCTTAGCAAACACAAATAGTCTATATATCAGGAAGTCCAATTACCATCAAATTTATAAGGAAATTAATCTGAGTCATCTGCTTTTTTTTTTTCTTTCCCAGAGAAATGAGAAAGAAATTAATCATAGGCAGCAGCTTTAATGCTTTCCTCTATTTTCATTTTCTGGACACTTTTTAAATTTCAACTTTCATGCCTGGTTATTATTTTGCAAATAAAGATAAATTACAAACAAATATTTGAGAATGTGTCTAATAATCACAATATAACTTCAAAATAATATCAACCCACAAGCATCATTTGACAGCTTCTGATTTTGAGATGCAAAGACTATAATGTACTTCCTGCCTATAATCAAGTTATCAATGATGATTTGCATTATATTTTTTAGGGGGATAATCTAATTTTGCATCAACTCAATTTTAAGCTTTTTTATTTTTATTTCTTTACAACCCCCTCTCCCCTTGTAGTGCTTTTGATAGTTTATTAAAAACAGCTTTTAATGACAAGTTGTCACTGACATGAATTATAGAAGTACTGATAAAATTTTGGAGAATGACAGTGTTGTATTTTGATGAATATATAGAATTGATGGAAGAAAGTTTTTCTACTAAGTCAGTATTTTCAATATTTTACAAAGTTGTTAAATGTGGTTGAAATATTGGAAAAATATCTAATTTTTGAGAATGATTTCATATTCTGGTTAAATTATGTTTACATAGTTGCTTTTTGGATTCTCTCTTTGATTGAAAATATATATATATGTGTGGCTATACATATGCAAATATGCTAGATTATAGCAAGTCCTATTAAAACTTGTGTTTACCTTATCTTAGTTATTGTATTACCATAGGCATAGCTCAATAAGACAAAAGACAATAAAACAAAGGTAGTCACTTATTTTAGTGATTTATACATTATGATATGATAAATACACACTTGAGTTGTACTTAATAGCATAAAAACACATCTTTACTCTGAAACATTAATTTCTTGCTCCTGCCAACACACACACACACACACACACACACACACACACACGTATGCACTCATCAAAATATTTTCCTTAAAAAATACATTTTTATATATAATATTACCATAATTCTACTTTAAAAATCACATCTTCACTTAAATTTCTCACATAAAAAGAATATCCACATAACTTCAAGATATTACATAAAAATGCAGAATATCAAAGAATGAATGAAGGGGTATATAAATATTTTGAAGACTACAAGTAGGAAAAATCTGAGTTTTCATTTTGATTTTGACACTGGACAGTTGTTTTGTGACAATCAATTCCTACATCTTTTTGAGTCTCAGGGTTTTGTTGCTGTTGTTGTGTTTTATTTTGTTTTGCATTTTTATCTCCAGGTTGAGAGACTTGAACAAATTTGCTATGATTGCCTCAAACACTAATATTCTGTATTTTGTTAACCTGGGAAATACTTCAGCTGATGCAAAGGCACAAGTGGGGTTAAGAATATTCTAGTTACATAGCTACTGTCCTGTGGGGCCTTCTGACCAGCACCTTAAATGGCCTTTTGTAGTCTTAGTCATTTAGGTTTGTATTCTGTGGGTTAAAATAAAGTAAAATGAGTGCTTTCTGGATTCTCTTTTTGACTGAATGTGTATATGCGTGTATATATGTTTGCAGATGTGCTAGGTTATAGCATGTACAACTCAAGTTTGTATTTATCTTATTGTAGTGTATACATCACTAAAATAATAGCATCATTTGTCTTATTGAACTATTCCTATGGTGATACAGTAGCTAAGATAAGGTAAATACAAGTTTTAAGAGCAACAAAATAAAATTAAGTGCTTTTAAAATACAAATGTACCTGAGATCACTATGAGTTGTATGAGTCTCTCAGCTTTCTTCTTTAGAAAGATTTTAACAGGAGAAGGGGAAAGAGACCCTAGAGTTTCTGGACACTTAAAGAACACATGGGAAAAAGAGATGACTGCTAATCAGAAAGGCAGAAAATAAATTTTTTCCCCAAGAACACATGGGAAAAAGAGATGACTGCTAATCAGAACGGCAGAAAATAACTTATTTCCCATTGGACACGTTTTAGTAGGATTTCAGAGGGTGCTGATATTTAGCAAGACTTAGCTATTATCTGTGGCTGTACGGCTGCTGCCCTTGACCCTCAATGACCCACAATTCAAACTGAGAAATTATCTGGTTAACTGTAAGTAGCAATTTCATCTTAGAAGAAATATCTGATCTGTAGATATTTAGAACTCCTTCCAACCATTAGGTGATTGTAATTCCTTTTGTTCAAGCAAAATCCCATATGTGTCATCTACTCCAAGCCCAGACAATCGTTTATTCTCTCATTATACTCCAAAATGAAGACTACATTCAGCAGATAATACATTAGTGATATGATATCCTGTACCCTGAAGAACTCCCTCAATGTGGAAGATTTCTGCTATCTTATGCAGAGCACACTGAACCAGTGGAAATTTAACTTGCTCAGCCCTAATGATAGAATGTTAATGGGAGAAAAATGTTAAATTTCTCATTGTCTCTGCATTCTGGCTAAAGGGTTGATGTACACTGCAGAGAGCTAATCAAATGAAAATAGAACAATAAAAGCAATATAAATTTTGGCAAAGTCCTATTGAAGTTTTTTGGTATTTACTTAGAATTCATAACAATATAATTTAGAAGAAAGCATATTTTTAAAATTTCTTTTCTGGAAACTTTTAGAAACTCATTTTCAGCCAGCTGAACTGTCTAGGCAAATGTTTCCTTGCAAGATAAGAGATCATACAGAGGCCTGCAACGTTCTAAAGATTATACTTTTGTGACATTGCCCAGAATCTTACATGTACTTCAAAAGTATTTTTGAGATAATCTTGTAAGATATTTGAATATAGGAAGCCCTTTCATGACATCCTGCTGAAATACTTCCTGGGATGAGGAATTCATCACCTTGCAAGACAATCCATTTTGTTTTTAGACAGAATTTAGCATTTTGAATTATAATTAGAGCCATGTTTTTTAACATAAAACTAAGTCGTTTTTTAATTTATTTATTTTTTCTCATTTAAGCCCCAGTTTTTCCCATGGCAATTATGGATTTTTTTATACTACTTGACTCCACTGATTTTTTTTTTCTCTTCTTGGATAAAGATCTCTATTTCTTTAACTAATAAACAGGCTTTTCAGAACCTCACATTTTTTACTTCCCTTCCTCTTGACATAGGCATGTTGGCCCACAACTCTAGAAAACATAGCCTCTAGAAATACAGGCTCTAGAAAAGGTTTCAGAAGTGTTCAGCATTGTGTAGAGCGCAATAAAGTGTATCAAGTCAATTTGTTAGAAGACACGTATTGATGGTTCTTATAAGATGGTTCTTATAAACATTCCACTGTGGAATGTTTACCAGGCTATTTCTGCTTCTCATTTCAAGCTATCATGCTTTTCTTTGATTTGCATTCCTGCTCCTCTCCAAGGGCCTCTAAGAATGAACAGCCTTTGAGATGGTGTATCTGATTTTCATAAGCAAGTGACGCTCACCGGAACCCAGTGCTTAACTGCTATACTCCTATTGCAGTTAGTGCTTCAGACCCTACTTTTCTGCGGGAAAAGCAAGGTGCTAAACCCAGAGAAAATGACCATAACTAAACTGGATACTTCTTGAAGCTCTGCCCTTGGGCTGTAGTGAAAAGATAAGTTGCCTGGGAATCTGAAACCTAGGGTTCTTGTTTGATGGTAACTGTACTTTCAGAAACATATTGCTTTTTACACCATTTCGGCTCTTAACTGATTTCAGATAATCTTGTTTCTCCTTGTCACTCAAGCCTAGAGGTATGATAACTTTTTACTGTTCCTAGTCTTGTACCTTGTTGGTTCCTTTAACACCTTCCTTCACCTCTCTTCAGCAACTTCTTATTTGTTTTCAGACAGATCCTGATAGCCTCTATAAGCCACAGTTTTATCATCTATAAAATGGGATAACAATAGTACTTACTTTATAGGATTGCCCCAAGTATTAGTAAAATAATAACATAAACATTTGGCATAGAACCTGGCAAATGTGTAATAAATGTAAAATATTAGTATTATTATCATGGATCATTTATACAGGTTATGATGTAATATTTTAGCAATGAAAAACTTTGTTGGATAATCTGCATGGTCCTTTTAGCACAACAATGTGTTTTATACCTCACCTCTGATTCTTGCCCAACAAAATATTTAACTCAACTCTCAAGGCCAAATACAGTACTTAGTGGTGAATGTTAGTTAATGCTAAAATTATAAATGTTGAGAAAAAATATCATTTTATATTTTTAGAAAATTTAATATGAATAACTAGACAGATTTATACTAATGTTTCCTGGAAAAGCAGGGTGTAAAGTCAGTGGATTTCTAAGCAGAAACCTTGCAGGCCAGAAAGGAGTGTGATGGTATATTCAAAGTGCTAAAAGAAAAAACCTCCAACCAAGAATATTATACCTGACAAAATCATTCTTAAAAAAAAAATAGGAGATATAAAAAACTTACCACAAAACAAAAGCTAAGGATGTTCATCAGTACTAGACTTGTCCTGTAAGAAATGCTAAAGGAAGTTATTTTCTGGTCATTTTCACAATATTGATTCTACCCCTCTATATTTGTGGCATCTGTGATTTCTTTCAGCCATGTTTCATAGGTTTTCTTGTACAGATTTTTTACATCCTTGGCTAAGTATGGTACTAAGTTTGTTTGTTTGTTTGTTTTTGCAGCCTTTGTAAAATGGATAGATTTCTCGATTTGATACTCAGCTTTGTCACTGTTGGTATAAAGCAGTGCTACTTGTTTGTGTGCATTGGTTTTGTACCCTGAGACTTTACTGAATTTGTTTATCAGATCTAGGAGCTTTTCGGATGAATCTTTTGAGTTTTCTAGGTATACAATCATATCATTGGTGAACAGTGACAGTTTCATTTCCTCTTTTCCAATGTGGATGCCCTTTATTTCTCTCTCTTGTCTGATTGCTCTCGCCAGGACTTCCAGTACTATGTTGAATAGAAGTGGTGAAAGTGGGCATCCTTGTCTTATTCCAGTTCTAAGGGAAATGCTTTCAACTTTCCCCCATTCAGTATTATCTTGGCTGTGGGTTTGTCACAGATGGCTTTTATTACTTTCAGGAATGTCCCTTCTATTCCTATTTTGTTGAGGGTCTTTATCATAAAAAGATGCTGGATTTTATCAAGTTATTTTTCTGCTTCTATTGAGATGATAATGATTTTTGTTTATAATTTTGTTTATGTGATATGTCACATAAACACAATTATTGACTTGTATATGCTAAACCATCCCTGCATTCCTGGTATGAAACCCACTTAATAATGATGTATTATCCTTTTGATATGCTGTTGGATTCAGTTAGCTAGTATTTTGTTGAGGATTTTTGTATCCATGTTCATCAGGGATATTGACAGCCTGCATAACTAAAGCAATTCTAAGCAAAAAGAACAAATTTGGAGGCATTAAATTAACTGACTTCACACTACAAGGCTATAGTTACCAAAACAGCATGGTACTGGTATAGAAATAGGCATGAAGGCCAATGGAACAGAACAGAGAATCAATTAAAAAAATCCAAATACTTACAGCCCACTGATCTTTGACAAAGCCTGCAAAAACATAAGTCGGGAAAAGGATATCCTGTTCAACAAATGGGGCTGGGAAACAGGCAAGCCACATGTAGAAGAATGAAACTGGATTCTCATCTCTTAACTAATATAAAAATCAGCTACAGCTGGATCAAAGACTCAAATCTAAGACCCAAAACCATAAATATTCTAGACGATAACATCAGAAAAACTCTTCTAGACATTGGCTTAGGCAAAGAATTCATGAACAATAACCCAAAAGCAAATGCAATAAAAATAAAAATAAATAAATGGGAACTAATTAAACTGGAAAGCTTCAGTGCAGCAAAAGAAATAATCAGCAGGGTAAACAGAAAACCTACAGAGTGGGAGAAAATATTCACAAACTGCATCTAACAAAGGATTAATATCCAGAATCTACAGGAACTCAAACAGATCAGCAAGAAAAAGACAAGTAATCCCATGAAAGAGTGGGCAAAGGACATGAATAGACAATTCTCAAAAGAGGATATACAATAGCCAACAAACACATGAAAAAATGCTCAGTATCACTAATTATCAGAGAAATACAAATTAAAACCACAATGAGATACTACCTTACTCCTGCAAGAATAGCCATAATTAAAAAGTCAAAAAATAATAGATGTTGGTGTGGATGTGGTGAAAAGGGAACACTTTTATACTGCTGGTGAGAATGTAAACTACTACAACCACTGTGGAAAACAGTATGGAGTACCTTCTATAACTAACAGTAGTACTACCATTCAATCCAGCAATCCCACTGCTGGGTATCTGCCTAAGGATTAAAAAAATCATTATATGAAAAAGATACACACACACACGTTTATAGCAGCATGATTCACAGTTGGAAAAATATGGAACCAACCTAAGTGCCCATTAACTAGCGAGTGGAATAAAATGTGAGATAGATATATGTGTGTGTGTGTGTGTGTGTGTGTGTGTGTATGTATATATATGTGTGCGTGTGTGTGTGTGTGTGTGTGTGTATATATATATATATATATATATATAGCCCATGGAGTACTACTTAGTCATAGAAAGGAACAAAATAATGTTTTTTGCAGCAACCTGGATGGAGCTGGAGGACATTATTCTAAGTGAAGTAACTGAGGAATGGAAAAGCAAATATCATATATGTTCTCACTTATAAGAGGAAGCTAATCTGTGAGGATACAAAGCCATAAGAATGATATAGTGGACTTTGGAGACTTGGAGGGGAAGGGTAGGAGGGGGTTGAGGAATAAAAGACTACACATTGGGTACAGTGTACAATGCTCAGATGATATGTTGCACCAAAATCCCAGAAATCGCCACTAAAGAACTTATCTATGTAACCGAAAAACCACCTGTACACTAAAAACTATGGAAATGAAAAATTAAATTAAATTTAAAGAATTAAGCTTGTCAGTGGTAGGGAAAGTAATCTGAAATCAATAAATTTTCCACATAAACTATGGGAACAGAGGAAAGGAAAATAGTTGCAAATCTAAAATTGAAGCAACATCTCTCTGATGTGGTTTATCTGGCATAAAAATGAATCAAAATAACAGATAATGTTAACATTTAACTGCGTTATTACTCTATTGCCCTGAGCTGCTCTATGTTGTTTTTAAGTAACGTGTACTTTTAGGAAGGTATTGTATCATACAAAATCATTCTATGGACACATTGGCCATGAGGTTGTGGCAAGTATTTTAGGGAACACAGAGCATTTAGAGGAAACCTGAGCCCTGAAGTATGAAGAATACAACTGGCTGGGTGTGGTGGCTCAGGGCTGTAATCTCACCACTTTGGGAGTCCGAGGCGGGTGGATCATCTGAGGTCAGGAGTTCGAAACCAGCCTGGCTAACATAGTGAAACCCTGTTTCTACTAAAAATACAAAAATTAGCCACGCGTGGTGGCACATGTTTGTAATCCCAGCTATTTGGGAAGCTGAGGCAGGAGAATCGCTTGAACCCAGAAGGCAGAGGTTGCAGTGGGCCAAGATCGCACCACTGCACTCCAACCTAGGCAACAGAGCAAAACTGCATCTCAATAAATGAATGAATAAATAAATAAATAAATAAATAAATAAATAAATAAATACGTATAAATAGAAGAAAAATAATACAACTAGCTTGAGAGTTCAAAGTACTTTGCCAGGTCTATAAAGCATTTCTACAAGGTTCTTAAAAGGGATTGACATTTTTCTTAGCATATGGTCTCTCTATGGTTCAAACTTTGGGAGATAACATTCTATATATGAGAAGAATATGAAAATCTCCCTTTCTTTGAGACAGCCCAATATATGATAATACTGAATTGTTCAGATGCTTTAAGGTGTGCCTACTTTTGTAGAAAGCTAACTTCAGAGTTTATCTCAAAAGCAAACTTCTTTATATCTTCAGGTTACATTCCATTACTTTTGAGCAAAGGTTATTGTGGAACTTATGGAGCAAGAGGGAAGTAAAGTGTAATCATTGGAAAAAGTTGTCAAGTAAGAGTGAGTTTCCGAGCATGGACATCTATAACTTTTTAGGTCATACCATAAAAGGTATGAGCAAAGAAAATATTTCTCCCCTCTGTCAAGTAAAGGCCAATTTTTAATTTGCAATATATGATTATGATTTGAGGATAGTCAATGAAAAAAGACACACTAAAATGTTATATGTTTTTTCGTGTAAAAAATAGATGAATTGTGAAACTGATAATAGAAAAATATTAGAATTTCTATGAAAAGAGCATGTGATAGATCCAGATTTTATGGCTAGGAAGCTGTACTCTGGCATACTCTGTCATTCAGTAAACTAAATGGCATTATATTATTATAAGAGTGTGTATTGTCTGGAAATTGACAGTAGTAAAGGATTGTTTGATTTTGAAAAAGATAAATTGGATCAAGCATCAAATTCTATGCTTATCAAATTTAATTATTTGAAACTATAATATTTATTTCAGTTCAACAGACATTTACAAGGAAATTAATATATTCCAGGCACTGTGTAGATATTTTAAGCTTAAAATATTTTTATTACAAAAGTGATATGGTAAATTCATCTTACCAGATAGTGAACTCATGCTGAAATCTCCCTCACCTGCATGTAACCTGAAAAAGCCCAGATAAACATTAAGCTAAGTGATATACAGGCAAGCTCCTGAAGAGGAAGAGGAATTCACAGTGGACTGAAGCTGTAAGGCATGCCTGACAAGTGATATTGCATGGGTAAGCCAAGTGCTTGCCATAGACAAGGCTATTTCAAAAGGCTGCACAGTCCCACGGGGGAACACTGAATAGTCCAACCACTGCAGGTCACTCCACTATAGCCACAGAAGAAACAGATGCAGCTTCCCAAAGACAGGCCAGATCGGGTTCGTAGAAATTGAGAGAAAGAGCATCTGAGAAAGACCAATATGACAGAACCACAACAATAAGGAGATCTTACATAGAAAAAAGGTAGTTACTAGTAAAACAGAAAAGCACTTTAAATTGATTATATGAAGCAATGAAAGGAATCAGCACTGTTAAGTAAAAACAAGATGCTATGAAACAAAAACTGAGGACAATAAAATAAAACAAATTAGAGATATAATAAATTAAGAATTTAATTGTTGAATTGAAAACAAAACAACTAGATGAAGAGCAGATTATATAGAGTTAAAAAAATAAATTAGAGAACTAAAAGCTCAAATTAAGAAATGTTTCCTGAATCAAGGGAAACAAAGTTAGAAATAATTTTTCAAAAGAGCAGAAAATTATGGAGAAAATTATAAGTGGTTATTTGAAAAGAATAACAACTTAGAAAATTTGTAATTTAATCAAAGAGAGAAATAAAAAGACACCAGGAGTGATTAAAAAGAAAAAAGTAATTAAACATTGGTAGATTAAAGAACAAAAATTATAGGAGTGCAATACCAGTATAATTGTACCGTTTAAATTGAAAACCTAGATAAAGTGGACAAACTTCTAGGGACTTAATACTAAAAATCATCAAAAACATTTAAAATATCATTCAAAGTTATATACTACTCAACATTCACACACACACATACAAATGATCAAAAGTTGAAATATCTTTATAAACATTTTCAAGATAAAGGTAACTATTGTCCTATATGAATGTTAGAGCAAAAAATTAGATAGATGACTAACCAATTGATTTTACAGGGTATTTTTTTTAACCAAAGCCCTAAGACCAAAAGAGACAAAAATTGAACAAAATAAAATGTATGATTTATTTCTTCAACTCTAAGTAAAGAAAATAAGCAAATTCAAGAAATAAAGTAATAAAATTCAACAAGATTACTACATACATGATCAACAATAAAATTCCATTATGTTTATATAGAAGAGCAGTAACCAATTAAAACTTGCAGTAGAAAATTATTACATGTCATAATAACAAAAGAAACTAATGTGTTTAGGAATATCATGACAAAAAGTGGTGCAAGATTATTCTGAAGACAATCTACAAAGATTTATAAAAACACAGAAAAACTTTGAACTCTACAGCTACGCTATTGTGAGGATGAAAGATTCAGCTCTATACAGATATCAATTTCCTTTAAGTCACGCTATATCTCCAAAATAATACCTTTCAAATTCCCAACATAATTTCTTTTCTTTTCTTTTCTTTTTTTTTTTTTGAGACAGAGTCTCCCTCTGTCACCCAGGCTGGAGTGCAGTGCAGTGGCTCGATCTCGGCTCACTGCAACCTCCGCCTCCCAGGTTCAAGCGATTCTCCCGCCTCAGCTTCCCAAGTAGCTGGGATCACAGGCCCATGCCAATACGCCTGGCTAATTTTTTTTATTTTTAGTAGAGACAGGGTTTCACCATGCTGGCCAACCTAGTCTTGAACTCCGGACCTCAGGTGATCCGCCAGCCTCAGCCTCTGAAAGTACTGAGATTACAGACATGAGCCACTGCTCCCGGCTCTCCCAACATAATTTCTGTGATACTTCACAAGCTAATTATAAAGTTAATTGGAAGAATAAATATGTACATACAATCAAGGCAATTATTTTAAAGCATGAGTTTGGGTTGACATAAAATCATACATCATATAAAAATGAAGTATAAAAATGAAGATATGAAGCTTTAAATCCATAGAGTGTTAGAGAATAACTAAATGAATGAAATGCTGCCAAGATGGCATTTGCTATCAATATGGAGTGTATATTTCATGAATATTCATAAACAATCACTCATAGGCATATTCGTAATCTGTATTCATATTAATATATATAGCATCTCTATCATATACTCCGACAACTTGCCTTGTTTCACTTATTAAAAAATACTCTCTGTTTTTCTGTACCCAGAGTTCTATTTCATTATTTTTGATGACAGTGTAATATTTAATCTCATTATACAACTTTATAATAAATAATTTCATTACTTATGTTCAGTTATGTTATTTCAGTGTAAAACCTTGTTCACAACCTTTTCATTCACATTAGGATATGAATGAGAAAAATTCCCTGAAGCGGAACTTCTGGGTCAAAGTATATGCACATTTAAGTTATGACAGAGAGTGTTACATTTTCTTTACAGAAGGTTATTTACAATCCTACTAGCAATATTTATAATAGTATCTATCATCAGTCTTTTTTGTTGTTTTTTTACTTTTTGCCTTCTGGCTATTAAATTATGATACGAAAACTCTATTTTAATGTTAGGTTCACTCATATGTTTTGTTTAAAATACCTACAAGAAGGGTATTAGGAATACGTCCTTATATTAAGCAGCAAAGTAGTTCCTAACAAAAGTTTGTTAAACAGTGTCTACTTTTTCCACTGCTATGAAACTCTATCACACTTATGTGCTAGACAGTCTTATAATTTTGGGTTATACCATAAACCTGACTTGTTTTCTAGTACCAAACATTAATATTGTGAAGTTTCATTTCATATATTTTAAAAACAGGGCTACAATATCCTCTTCATTCCCACATTCATTACCAGATTTCTTTCAAAGTACATTTTACATTTGTGTGTGTGTGTGTGACTGCTTTATTTTTTTAATTTTATTGATTGATTGATTGATTTTTTTGATCTGGAGTTTGGCTTTTGTCGCCCAGGCTGGAGTGCAGTGGCAGATCTCAGCTCACTACAGCCTCCGCCTCTCAGGTTCAAGCGATTCTCCTGCCTCAGCTTCCCAAGTAGCAGGGATTACAGGCGCCTGCCGCCAAGCCCGGCTAAATTTTTGGATTTTCAGTAGAGACGGGGTTTCGCCATGTTGGCCAGGCTGGTCTCAACCTCAGATCATCCACCCGCCTCGGCCTCCCAAAGTGCTGGGATTACAGGCATGAGCCACCGCGCCCAGCCGTGACTGCTTTATAAATAATTGACGTAATCATATTGCTCTTTCTGCCTAAGAAAAGCATGCCTCTCAATTTCCTCAAGATGCCTTTGGTACACTTCAGTAGAGTTTTAAATTTTTCCTGATATGGGTATTGAAATTTTTGTTCACTTTATCCTGAGGTATATGTTTAGCAATGCAAATGTCATAACTATTCATAATATTTTCTAAATTATTATAATTTTCAGAAAGGAAACCTGTGGATTTAAACATGTTAATCTTTAACCAATTAAATAACTAATTCTCATTTAGTTCTGATGGCTATTTGATGCTCTTGGATTCAATGTGTATAAAATCATATTTCTGGCAAATAAAACTGTTTAAATCTTATTTTCCAATATTTGTGCCTTTTATTTAATTCTACGTTGAAATTTATTTGGCCAGTACTTCTATAACAATGTTAAATATCGTAAAGAAAATAGATATTTTTTTCTTATTCCTGAATTGATGGAAATATTCCAATGTTTGACTATTAAAAAAATAATGCTGGCTTTAGGAATAAATGTAAAAACACAAACATACATACTAGTAAAGGAAGTATACACTGTTTATATTTCACGTGTTTGTTAATGAAGGAGGAGTGTTGAGTTTATCAAAAAGAACAAATTGTTTAAAAGTACCGGGCAGTAACTACTGAATTATCTTTCAAAAAAAAAAAAGAAGGTGAGTTTGGCTGGAGGGAAGGACAAATACAAGGCTGGTAAAAACTGAAAAAAAGGAAGTCATAGGCAGAACCTTTTAAAAGTGTATTAACTAGGGTTATGATTTTACCTGTTTTCAAGCATTTGGAGGGTTTCAAATACAAGAGTGATATAACCACCTAATATATAAAAAAAATCACTCTGCTTGCCATGAGAAAATGATAATGGTGGTGACGGGTTTATGCAAGAACAGAAGCAATGAGACTGGTGACCCTAATAATGCAGGCAACATATGAGTGGATTGGACTAGGTAGTAATAGTGGAGATGGATACATTGAATAGACTGGGTCACATTTTAATGGGAGAGCTTACTGAACCTGATGCCATCAATGTAGAAGGTGAGAAAAGTCACTCAAGAAAACCTGGAATTTTGGCTAACACAATTGAGTGGATTTTGGTGCCTTTTACTGAGATGAGTAAAATGGTAGAAGTAACAGCTTTGAGATTTATGAATTTGAGATTTCTCATTTCCATCTTAATAAGACTAAGATGCCAAGTAAACTCTCTCAGTGAACATAACAAGTAGAAGGTTGATATAGTTGTCTAGGCTTTGAGAGGGTGATCAGGATGGGAAATAAGAATTTGGGAGACATTTGCTCATAAACAGGATTTCAAGCCATGAGACTGGGTAAAGCTGCTTAGAAATGCACATAAAAAAGAAAAAAAATTCAGGGAAGATTCTTGAAACAGTAAAATTGTACAGGTTAATAAGAGGGACTAGGAAAGGAAACTGAAATATAGCCAGTGATGATAAGTAGGAGAATTATAACTGAAAAGAAATACATTTTTAAGAAAGAAAATTGAGAACTCTATTTCACTTCAGAACAGAGAAATTAGTCCTGAACCATCACTTTTGCTGAGGAAACTAGGAAAGGCATACAAAACCAAAAACAAGGCATTGGAGAGCTCCTGAGACACGAGATCTCATGAGTTAAAGTAATGGAGAGAAAAATCTGCAGAGAGGTAAGCTAGCATTCTGTGTGTTACCTTACCCTTCAGGGAATTTGTTGATTTTGGAATGGGTCATGAGTCAGAGGGACAAGGCTAAGGGGGAAAAAAGCCAGTAGAGCATGTGAAAATCTCTTGAAACTGGTGAGATAAAAAAATGGAGTTTGGAATTCCCAGTTTGCTAGAAGTTTGAGGGTGAATATATTGGTGAGTAGAGATGAACAACAAATTGAACATTATTCTTGTATATCCCCCATCAGGACATTTAAGACATTCTGAAACTTTGCAGAAGGTGACTAACATGCTAAAAGCAGAAAGATATTGAAAAACAGAATAAAGATTTTGGCAAGCTCATAGTGTTAAAATTTAAAATAATCTTGTCAATTTTTGCAAAAAAGCAAGTTGAGATTTTGATAGGCATTGCATTGAATCTGCAGATCAATTTGAGGAGTATTACCATCTTCTATTAAGATTTCTTGGCCGGGCGCAGTGGCTCATGCCTGTAATCCAAGAACTTTGGGCGGCTGAGGGGGGTGGATCACCTGAGGTCAGGAGTTCGAGAACAGCTTAATCAACTTGGTGAAACCTTGTTTCTACTAAAAATACAAAAATTAGCTGTGCGCGGTCGTGGGCACCTATAATCCCAGCTACTCGGGAGGCTGAGGCAGAACAATTGCATGAACCTGGGAGGTGAAGGTTGCAGTGAGCTGCTGAGATCATGCCATTGCACTCCAGCCTGGGCAACAAGAGCAAAACTTCGTCTCAAAAAAAAAAAAAACAAAAACTTACCTTTCTTATCTATAAGCATGGGATGTTTTTCCTTTTTTGATCTTATTAAGTTTCTTTAAATAATGTATAATTTTGGCATACAATTCTTTCACTTCTTATGTTTATTTTATTTCTAAGTTTTTATTTTAATATTATTATAAATGAGGTGTTTCTTTAATTTTATTCTCAGATTTTTCACTGCTAGCATGTAGAAATACAATTGATTTTGTTCATCTTGTATCATATAATCTTACTATCCTCCTTTATTAGGGGTAGTAGTGTGTGTGTGTGTGTGTCTGCGTGTCTGTGTGATTTCTTAGAAGTTTCTTTATACCAAATGATGCCATCTGTCAATAAAAATAGTGCTGTGGTTTGAATGTCCCCTCCAAGATTAATGTTGAAATTTCATTGCCATTGTGATATTAAGAGGTGAGTCCTTTAAGAAGGGGATTAGATCATAAGGGCAGCCCTTATGAATGAATTAATGTCATTACTGTTATCAGGGAGGGGGTTAGTTATCATAAAAGTGAGTTCATAAGAAAAAGGATGACTTTGGCCCTCTTTCTCTTTCTGTCTCATGCATTCAGTAGCTCTTCCATCTTCTGTCATTGGAATGACACAGCAATATGGCCCTCACCAGATGACAAGCAGATGCTGGTTCCATGCCTCTGGACTTTCCAGCCTCCAAAATTGTGAGCCAGATACATTTCTTTTCTTTATAAATTTCTCAGTCTCAGATGTTGTAGAAACACAAAACAAATGAAGACATAGTTTTACTTCTTCTTTTCCAATGTGTATGGTTTTTATTTATTTTCTTGCTTAATATCTCTGGCTAGAATCACAGTGTAGTGTTGAATAGAAGCAGTCAGTATGGACATCCTTATTTTCTTCTCGATTTTAGAAGAATATATTCAATTTTTCCCCATTAAGTATGATGTTATCTGTGGGTTTTTTTTCATGTGCCCTTTATCAGCTTCAGGAAGTTTCCTTCTATTCTTAAGTTGTTGAGTATTATCATGAAAGTATATTAGATTTTGTGAATGCTTCTCCTATTTCTACTATGATGATAATGTGATTTTTTGTCCTTTATTTTATTAACATGGTACATCATTTTCACTGATTTTCAGATGTTAAACCAGTCTTACATTCCTGGGCTATATCTCACTTGGTCATGGTGTATAATCTCTTTTTGTATGTTTCTGGAGTCAAGTTGCTATATTTTATTGAAAATTTTTGCATCTATGTTCATAAGTCATATTGGTCTATAGTTTTCCTTTCTAGTGGTACCTTTGCCTGACTTGATAATCAGGCTAACACTAGCCTTCTAGAATAAAGAGAAAGTTTTCCTTCGCTCTTGTTTTTTGGAAGAGTTTGTGAAGTGTAGGTATTACTTTTTTAAGTATTTGTAGATTATAGTAAAGCCTGAATTTTGATATGTGTGTGTGTGCGTGCGAAGTTTTTAAATCCCAAGAGAACTATTGTACAGCAAGAATACTATAATTCATGATAGTGCATTGTATTCTTGAAAAATCTAAAAAGAATGTTGTGTGCTATTATCATAAAAATGATTACTATGTGAGGTAATGTACTTGTTAATTAGCTAGGTTTAACCACTCCACAATTTATATATACCTTCAAAAATGTTGTAAATAATTAAAAAACAATGTTATTTGTCAATTTAAAAAAATAAATTTTAAAATAAATTACTAATTTACTCTAATTACTAGTTATAGGTCTTTTCAGATTTTGTATTTGTTCTTGTATCAGTTTTAGTAGTTTGTGTCCTCCTAGGAATTTAACCATTTTATCTAAGTTATCAAATTTGTTGACTTACAGTATTCTCTTATAATCCTTTTTGTTTCTTTAAATTAGGTCATGGTGTTGAAGATGTATAAATTTTGTTGAGGCCCTGACAAGGAAGAGGATCCCATATACATTCCAGTTTTCAGTTGGGATTCTTAGTGAGGGAACAAGAGAATATCCAGGCTTACACAAATGCCAACTCACATTCAAGACAATTCAGTATGGTTGGATGTTAAAAATGTTTGTCCCTAACTCAGGCATCCAAAGAGAAGACAGGATAAAAATAAATTTTACTTTACTAAAAATTACTCTGGAAAGATAAATCATGCAAAGTATCTATACTTTTTAATAGTTTTAAGAAATTGAAAAAAATTACTGAGTCTAAGAAATATATCTGAAAGAAAAGCAGACAATAGTAACAAACATATAAATAACCCAGTTTTTGGTGATAATCTGTCTTGGGTTTTAAAGTTAATATGATAAGATATTCAAGAAAATATATGATATATGAATAATTTTACCACAGAGATAGAATCTATTTTAAAATTCCAATTCCAATTCTGGAACAGAAAAATCCAACAATGGATAGTAAGATATCAACAACTTAATGTAAGTATTTACCATGGCAAGACAAGAGAGTTAGAATTAATGAACTAGAAGACGGGCCAGCAGAAAACATTCGGGCTGTAGCTTAAAGAATAAAAGTATGGAAAATACAGATAAGAATAGAAATTCATATATATATATATATATATATATATATATATATATATATATTCCAAAAGAGAAGAGCAGAATCAGCAGAAGCAAGATTTTATGTAGTACTGACCAATCATTTTCAAAAATAAGTAAAAGGCATTGAGGCACATATTCAAGAAGTCTTATGAAACCCAAGCAGAATAAATTCAAAGTAAAAGATCTAGGCACACTTTAGGAAAACCGCTAAAGCAGAAAACAGAGAAAATCTTAGAAGTATTCAGAAGAAACACACACACACACACACACACAAACACACACACATACACAAACACACCACACATCCCCCACTAACCACAAAGGAAAAGATTGATAAGTTGGTTTACATTAAAACAAAAGTATTCATTAAAAGACAGCATTAAGGGAATGAAAATGGGAACCACTGAGTAAGAGAAAATAATTGCAATTCACTTATTTCATAAAGGATTCATATGCAGAATATATAATTCCTGGAGTCTATAAGAAAAACCTAGTCACATGATTAAAAGTGGACAAAAGACCTGTTAGGGACTTTAAAACAAGGACACGTAAGTGAACATTAACAGTTTTAAAAAAGTACAAAACGTAATTTGTCATCAGGGAATTGCAAATTTAAACTACAATAAAATGCATAAATCAATCAATCAGTGACTGAAAACAGCAACTGGTGGTGAAGATGTAGATCAAGCGGAACTCTCATACACTACCTGTGAAAACTGTAAATTGACAGGCCAGGCACGGTGGCTCATGCCTGTAATCCCAGCACTTTGGGAGGCCGAGGCAGGCAGATCACCTGAGGTCAGGAGTTCGAGACCAGCCTTAACACGGAGAAACCCTGTCTCTACTAAAAATACAAAATTAGCCAGACATGGTGGTGCATGCCTGTAATCCCAGCTACCCAGGAGGCTGAGGCAGGAGAATTGCTTGAACCTGGGAGGTAGAGGCTGCGGTGAGCCAAGATCGCACCATTGCACTCCAGCCTGGGCAACAAGAGTGAAACTCCGTCTCAAAAAAAAAAAAGAAACAAACAAAAAAAGAAAACTGTAAATTGACATAACCGGTCTGAAAAACTGTTTGGCAGTATCTAATAAAGATTAACATATGCATATCATGTGACCTGACTTTATACTCCTAGGCATATACCCAGCAGAAATGCATACATATTTGTACCAAAAGACAAGTACAAAAATGTGCAGAGATTGATTCTTCTCACTAGCCACAAACTGTAAAGAAACCAAATAACCATCAACCAAAGAATATGCAAACTGTATTATATTCATATAAGGGAATACTAAACAGCTCTGTAAAATAATAAACTATTTCTACACGGGGGCCACGGGCAAATCTCATAAACCCAAACTTGAGGGAATTAATCCAAATACAACAGAGTTGTGTTATTTCATTTATATAAAGTTAAACATCATGCAAAATTTCAGCAGGAATTAATGATTATGAGAGGGAGGTCCAGGATTAGGTTTCTGTGGTGCCGAAAATATTTTATACCTCAATATCTTGATCTATGTGATAATTACATGGGTATCTTCAATTTGTAAAAATTTATGTTGATCTGTTTATATTTACAACATGGAGTTTTCTGCAGCTTTATATTTTATAATTTATTATTTTAATAAAAATTACAGAAGTTTCAACTATATATTGCACCTAGTCAAGCAACATAGCAACATTTAAATGGTGATTTACATTTAGCATCAATTTTTGTTGTCATTCAGCCATTTGAAAGAAGTGGTGAGAATGGATACACTTTTGGAATAAAGTGACGACAGATGTGATTCTGAAATTAGGTAAAGTGATGTAACTGGATATGAATGAAGTCAATTGTAAATGGAATAGAAGCATCCACAGAGTGCATGGAATTATCAACTAAAGACAGTTAACTAAGGCTCAAGATATGGGGAAGGTATCCTTAAGGAGATGATGTGTAACTTTATCTTGAAGATAAAGTAAGATTTAGCAAACAGAGGAAGTAAGAAGGTAGAATAAGCAAGGTGGGCATTTTGGGCAGCATGAGTAGAGGCAAGCAATTGTCTCTACTATAAACAGTTAGTACTGATACATTATTAAGCGAGAATTAAGCAAGGCACTAGCAATAGAGAATGTTAAAAGCAAGGTTTAGAAGGTTGGTCTTCTTCAGTTGATTCTTGAGAGCTACTAACTGTTTATTAGTAGTGGAGAGTTACCATCAGATCTGCCTTTTAAATATACTCTGCAGAATTGAAGGGGAGGTCAGATGAGGGCCATCTGATAAAAATAAGATGTGGGGACACATTATTACAATTTTTCCTTAAGTTTTACTGCAAGTAATATAGAGAAGTCATAAGAGATAAAAACAGCACCCAACTCTTGAATTAAAAAAAAAGATGATCTTGCTCAGAGTGACTTTTTTTTCTGACATTTGCCAGAGGTTGCAGTTG
Organism: Homo sapiens; assembly: GCF_000001405.40. Classification (NCBI taxonomy): domain Eukaryota; kingdom Metazoa; phylum Chordata; class Mammalia; order Primates; family Hominidae; genus Homo; species Homo sapiens. The sequence goes on along the minus strand of NC_000007.14, from coordinate 89,363,005 downwards.
GCACTGATATATCTGGTTTTCTACTTGTCCAGTGGCATGTATTTGCAAATTGTATGTGACCATCAGCATCTAACACATTAGGTACTGAATAATTATATTGTTGATTTGTTGTGGTTGCTACACAGGATTGAGAGTATGGCATGGATCCATGTAATCGTTATTTTTTTGCCTTTCCTCTGTGTGAAATTAATTGGACTATGTGGAAATTCAATTCTCAACTTAGTCTTAGAGAACCCTTTTTATCATCTCTGCAGGAATCTCGTTTTAAGCTTTTTAAACATACTTTCATGATCTTAATGTGATTATCATTATCCTAATCATTATTATTATCCCTTATTAAGTTTTTGGAATACAAGGGCATACCATCTCAAGACAGGAAGTCTTTAAATAGCCTTTACTATTTATTAACTGCAATAATTACAGTAAATTCTGAATTATGAGGCTTTTTATATTGTCTGGGTTAAAATGCTTAGGTGCTTTGGTTAGTAGTTGTCTTCATTTATACAGAGATGTGCTGATAACCTTAAGCCACCAAAAAGCAACAACGAACAATACTAATAGCTGAGTTCGGAAATATGTATAATCTATCAAGTTTAACAGGTCTTAAAGGATAGATTTACTTTAGCTTAAAACATGTTTATAGTTTAAACAGCTAATATATTGTACAAATAAATAAAAATTAAAGCAATATCAGCAAAACCATATAGAAATTACATGTATGTGTGTGTATATATATATATATATATATATATATATATATATATATATATATATATATATACACAAACACCCACACAGCCACACATACATTTAAAACATCTTATTTTTAGTCTTTCTGACCCAGGATCTCTCTTTTCAGTTCCAGACTGCATGTTGCCACAAACATAATTTCTCTGAGGCCCAATTCTGGACCTCTGTTCTCCCATAGCTGAAAAAATTCCAGTAGATCCGTTTTGTCCACCAGAAATGCCTTGGTATTACAAGCCCTTTACTTGTATCAGTAAGGTGGCCACACAGTTACTCTTGGCCAAGAGCTATTCTAGGTGCTGCTGATCTAGCAGTGAAAAAAAAGGAGGTGAATGGAAAGAGTGTATACGTTATGGCGTAGAGAGATGGCAACAATTAAGAAAAAAATACCAATATTGATTCTTCCTACACATGAGCATGGAATGTTCTTCTATTTGTTTGTATCCTCTTTTATTTCGTTGAGCCGTGGTTTGTAGTTGTCCCGGTCCTTCACATCCCTTGTAAGTTGGATTCCTAGGTATTTTATTCTCTTTGAAGCAATTGTGAATGGGAGTTCACTCATGATTTGGCTCTCTGTTTGTCTGTTATTGGTGTATAAGAATGCTTGTGATTTTTGCACATTGATTTTGTATCCTGAAACTTTGCTGAAATTCCTTATCAGCTTAAGGAGATTTTGGGCTGAGATGATGGGGTTTTCCAGATACACAATCATGTCATCTGCAAACAGGGACAATTTGATGTCCTCTTTTCCTAATTGCATACCCTTTATTTCCTTCTCCTGCCTGATTGCCCTGGCCAGAACTTCCAACACTATGTTGAATAGGAGTGGTGAGAGAGGGCATCCCTGTCTTGTGCCAGTTTTCAAAGGGAATACTTCCAGTTTTTGCACATTCAGTATGATATTGTGAAAATGGCCATAGTGCCCAAGGTAATTTATAGATTCAATGCCATCCCCATCAAGCTACCAATGACTTTCTTCACAGAATTGGAAAAAATACTTTAAAGTTCATATGGAAAGAAAAGAGAGCCCACATTGCCAAGTCAATCCTAAGCCAGAACAACAAAGATGGAGGCATCATGCTACCTGACTTCAAACTATACTACAAGGCTACGGTAACCAAAACAGCATGGTACTGGTACCAAAACAGAGATATAGAACAATGGAACAGAACAGAGCCCTCAGAAATAATACCACACATCTACAACTATCAGATCTTTGACAAACCTGACAAAAACAAGAAATGGGGAAAGGATTCCCTATTTAATAAATGGTGCTGGGAAAACTGGCTAGCCATATGTAGAAAGCTGAAACTGGATCCCTTCCTTACACCTTATATAAAAATTAATTCAAGATGGATTAAAGACTTAAATGTTAGACCTAAAACCATACAAACCCTAGAAGAAAACCTTGGCAATACCATTCAGGACATAGGCATGGGCAAGGACTTCATGTCTAAAACACCAAAAGCAATGGCAACAAAAGCCAAAATTGACAAATGTGATCTAATTAAACTAAAGAGCTTCTGCACAGCAAAAGAAACTACCATCAGAGTGAACAGGCAGCCTACAAAATGGGAGAAAATTTTTGCAATCTACTCACCTGACAAAAGGCTAATATCCAGAATCTATAATGAACTCCCACAAATTTACAAGAAAAAAACAAACAACCCCTTCAACAAGTGGGCAAAGGATATGAACAGACACTTCTCAAAAGAAGACATTTATGCAGCCAAAAGACACATGAAAAAATGCTCATCATCACTGGCCATCAGAGAAATGCAAATCAAAACCACAGTAAGATACCATCTCACACCAGTTAGAATGGCAATCATTAAAAAGTCAGGCAACAACAGGTGCTGGAGAGGATGTGGAGAAATAGGAACACTTTTACACATTGATGGGACTGTAAACTAGTTCAACTATTGTGGAAGTCAGTGTGGTGATTCCTCAGGGATCTAGAACTGGGAATACCATTTGACCCAGCCATCTCATTACTGGGTATATACCCAAAGGATTATAAATCATGCTGCTATAAAGATACGTGCACATGTATCTTTATTGCAGCACTATTCACAATAGCAAAGACTTGGAACCAACCCAAATGTCCAAGAATGATAGACTGGATTAAGGAAATGTGGCACATATACACCATGGCATACTATGCAGCCATAAAAAATGATGAGTTCATGTCCTTTGTAGGGACATGGATGAAGCTGGAAACCATCATTCTCAGCAAACTGTCACAAGGATAAAAAACCAAATGCCACATGTTCTCACTCATAGGTGGGAATTGAACAATGAGAACACTTGGACACAGGAAGGGAAACATCACACACTGGGGCCTGTTGTGGGGTGGGGGGAGGGGGGAGGGGGGAGGGATAGCATTAGGAGATACACCTAATGTTAAATGACAAGTTAATGGGTGCAGCATACCAACATGGCACATGTATACATATGCAACAAACCTGCACGTTGTGCACATGTACCCTAAAACTTAAAGTATAATTTAAAAAAAGAAAAAAATACCATTAGTTCTATGAAGACTATAGAATAGGCTAATGTTTCATAATGACATAGGAGGTAATTTAAATAGATAGTCAAGGAAGGATCTCTGAGGAGAGAACATTTGAGTTGTATCTGTAATTGTAAAATAAAAAATCAGTCATGCAATAATGTAGATAAATATCATTCCAAAAAGAAGAAACAGCAAAGACACTGATATGGGATGACTTCACTACATCAAGGAAAAAAAAAAGAAAAGCAGATTGGTCTCACCCAAACCTATCTGTTCACACATCAATTCTTCTTTCACAGAATACCCCAACCTCCAACTGAAAGATGTTTCTCGCCTTTCTCTAAATGTGTTGTGTGTTTTTTCTCTCAGGAGTTTACTCATGAGCATCTTCCATTATCGACAATGATGCCTGTCCCTGCACTGGGAAGCTCTCTCTGTTTTTACAATTCAGTGGAACCTGACATCAATCAGAAAAAAACATACAGTGCCTCTAGCAAGTGTTTGGACTGAATTATGTGTCAGGATCCTCATATTAGTGAGCTTGAATGAAAGTCCCTCCCCCTCCAAAAGAAAATAGTGTAGCACTGAAGAAGTAATAGAAATGTGGACACTTCCATGGTTCTTCCAATGTTAAGATTGTGCCCATGGCTCACTTGAGGGAGTCCACTAAGTAGAGCACGCAGGTGAAGGCATGTCAAGCCTGCATTCTGGAAGTAGGGGATGCAGCAGAGCTAATCAGTGAGTATGCTCGAAGTAAAAAATCTTCTCATTGCTATGATTTTCCAGAGCCTATGAATGGTAAGGATTGCATTTAAGGAAAGGTGGTATATCAAGATTCTTTATATTCACATGCTGTATATAATGTGTTGCTTCTTGTGTATTTCCGTATATGTAACCTATTTCTGTCACTTCATTTTGGAATAAATAAAATAAGGTAATGTTAGATTTTAATTTTTCCCAGATGTGCTTGGGGGTCTTAATTGAGGAGAGTTCACCCAAAGTGTGACTCATGGTTCCCTGATAAGGGCAGTAAATGATCACAAGAGGTGGAGTGTTTTCTTTTCCTAAGCACGTGCCATTTTCTTATACCATTCATTCATTCATTCATTTGATAAATAATGAGGGCTCCCTATGTGCCAAAGTCTATAATATTTTCCAGAGATACAATGGTGAGCAAAACAAGCGGTAGACTGCTGTCTTTATTTTAGATGACAAAGATATTTAAGAATGTGATCTCATGTCTCATTATAATTCTCTATATTACCTGTTCATTCATTCCTTTGGCAAAAAAAATAAAATAAAATATATAGTTTGAGAATGTCTGAATAACGAAAAAGGAAGAGCCAGAGTGAATGTATACCTGCATTCAGATCCTGTGAAAAAAATCCTAGGGAGAGTTGCAGTCTTGAAAGAGCTGCAGATTGTTGGCTAACAGAAAAGCTGAGCTATTCTTTCACAATGCAAGAAAATTTTGGGTCAGAAACAAGGACAGGTCTCCTGAACTATATTTTAGCTCAGGAAGGCCATAGAAGAAGAGAAATCTAATCACACATAAAAACCCTAGAACCCTAGATTCTTAGGCACTTTATTGATACTCCTGTTGGAGGTACATCTTAACACTCAGAGAAAATTTACTTAGGAAAAATGATTTTGTAATCAAAGAATGAAACATTTGGGTAATTTGTTTAGTGTGCAGAAAGATAACTTCCAACAAAGTTATGGAGCTTTTTGCTTTATTTCTAGGTTTCTAGTCTTGATGAGTTAGTGTAATTCCACTGTCATTTTAAGTAGAGAAATATCAAAAAAAAAAAAAAAAAACTACACAGCACTTGACCTGAAAAGCGAAGTCTCTTTATGATTAAATAGTTTATGATATTACCCTTTGTCAACACAAATGAAGTACTTCATATGGCATGTATATTTCAATACTGTTTTCTGTTAACTAAGCTTGAGAATGCAGAGTATGCTTTGTTACAAATTATAATTTCTTGATCTTTATGTATAGAGATCTAAGTATAAGAAATCCTCATGGAAAACAATTCATATGGTAGGGGGACAGGTTGAACACTTGTTAAAGGCAAGAAGTAGAGGGAAGTGGGGGATAGTTGTGAGAAGGCTTGATTGCAGTTGCTGCAAGCCTGACTCTGGATGAGGGAAGGATTCGTCTGGGCATCAGTGAGTCTGAGGATGCCACAGGGGCTGTTGCATCTTTTATATGAGGACATTTCCTGTTTTTAGTGGCATCCGTGATTATTTGGGGCTCCTGAATATTTCTGAGGGGTGTGATTCCTAGGGCTGCCCCCATTGCAATTCTGTCATTTTTCATTGCATATAAAGACAAAACATCAGCTCTTATTTTATGGTCTTCTAAGTCATATCATCCTGTGGTAAGCAGTTGTGGTTTTGAAGGTAGAAGTTTTTCTTTGAAAAAAGTTATTGGTATTTTAACTGGAGTCAGGTAGTTCAGATATTGGTCTCTATCATTGCCTCATTTTCTGGGAGTACTTACTTCACTTGCACTTCAACATGTAACCCAAATGCTAACATGTGCTCTTATTCTGCAACTGGTGGAGTTTGCATTTATTTCCAAATTTACTACAAAATTATCCAAATTCTTGCATAATTTATACCTAGTTACCTGTTTTGCTGAAGTCTCTGATAGAAAATTTCAGAAGCCTTACCACTCACAGGCTTACTATAGATAAGATAGTGATACTGATATCTTATGTTTGAATAGGATTTTATGATCTGCAAAGCGTTTCTGTATTATTTTACATCAGATACATAAAAATCCAGAGAAAAGAAGATATTATTTTACTCATTTTGCAGATAAGAAGCTAAGGTTCAGAAATGTTAAGTGTTCAAGTAACATAATTACTTAAAATTACTCAAAATGACACTGAATTCTCACCATTTACATGAGCTATACCTTCACCCTAATGTGGGCAGACCACATCAGATCCCTAATGACAATATAACAAGCTATATACTTCTCCATTGGGAGATCAAAACGGGGACATCTATGCCTACACCCCTCAAATACTCAGTTGCAGCATGTCATGAGGAGTCTAAGATTTCATGGGTCCCCCTACTCCCACTGTACCCAACCCAGGCAGAAGGCCAAGGCATGGTCAGCACACCGTTATCAGATTAGTCACAGGTAAATGCTGACACCTGGACCAGGAATTCTGCATTGTTGCCTCCAGGAAGCAGTTTAAATGGAGGTTTGGCAAGTCTTTTAAAATTGATTTCTAAAAATTAAATACTTTTGGATCACCTACAATGTCCCAGGAATTATGCTAGGTGCTACAGAGCTATAGACAAGAGGATGTGGCCTCTATCCTGGAAGGGCCTACAGTTTAGGAAATGAGGCCAACATGTGAACTTTGAAACTGGATACTAGCTTGGCATTACTCCAGTGAGGACAACGAGACAGTCAGAGGCATAAAGACAGCAAAAGTAAGAGTAAAGATTAATGAGAGTAATAAGCAGTTGAACTTTCATGCCATTGTATCTACAAATTTGCTGCTACAAGTATTGCTGCTGTGACTAGATGCTGTTGAATTCCCAAAGCCTGTGTACTCTCTCTTCTTAAAGTTTAAAATGTGAGATTTTATTTTCATATTAAGAAATAAAACTTAAGGAGGCCAATATGGCATACATTTCAGATTCCCAAGAAACCTGATATAACTTAGCTTTAATTTCAGAGCTAAAGTGTTTTTAATGATAAAATTAGACTACCTAGAAAACAAATTCAGAATTGACTGAGTTCAAACAGGGAAAGTTCACAGCAACCTCCACCTGATTGATGTTAAAGAAATGCCAATGGTTCAGGAGGAAGAAATAAAACTGAAAATGGAAATGCATCATTAGGTTTTTTAACAAAAGCCTGGTGGGACTTGCCACATTTAATTTTAAGTGACAAGTACTGAAGGACAGTTTTTCACCTAGAACCTTCTTCCTGACGACCATGCTCCATAGGGCAAAGACAAAGACGCATGGGTCTCCTGCAGAGCATTGCTTCATCAGCCTCATCTCCAGATCTCCACTTGCTTTTGACCCCATACCTCTCAGCTTCTTTTTGGGCTTTGGGCCATGAAGGAATTTCAGTGCCTGGTATTGAGTAGGGGAACTATTCCCTTAGATACTAGGCAGAAGCATTGCAAGGCAATATTTGAGCCAGAAGAGTACATTCCTTTGGAGCTCAGATACTTGCCTGTGGGTATCTTTAACTTAGAAAGCTTTCTCAAAAAGTCAGACCTATTGATTCTAAGACTCAGTGAGTTTAGAATTTTCCCCTGCGAATGAAGAATTCAAAGCAAATTGGTGGAAAACACATATCAAAATAGAAGTGTCATGATTTCTATTTATTTGTATTTCAACTTTGTAATGTAGCAATAATGTGGGAGTTAGAGGCAAAGAGGTCCAGGGTATCAAAGCTACTTCTCTAGGGCATCAAGGACTACAATAAGGCTGTGTCATTATTACTTTTTGGTTCATATAATGCAGTGTTTTTTATCATATTAAATTTTCAAATTAAGAACCCACATCTATCATCTAGCTATATCTATCTATCATCTATCTATCTATCTATCTATCTATCTATCTATCTATCTAATCTATATCTATCATCTATCTGTCTATGTTGATATGTCTTACATCAAGTTGATATAAGTAATGTATTCATTTCGTTATGAAGAATATAATAGAAACTTCTGGCTGAAGGTGGAATCAGACAAACTTTGTCAAAAGATTCTGAATTTTTTTTTTTTTTTGAAACAAAGTCTCGCTCTGTCACCCAGGCTGGAATGCAGTGGCACAAATCTTGGCTCACTGCAAACTTCACCTCCTGGGTGCAAGCAAATCTCCTTCCTCAGCCTCCCGAGTAGCTGGGATTACAGCGCAAGCCACCACACCAGGCTAATTTTTGTATTTTTAGTAGAGATGGGGTTTCGCCATGTTGGCCAGGCTGGTCTTGAACTCCTGACCTCAGGTGATCCGTTCCCTCGTCCTCCCAAAGTGCTGGGATTACAGTCTCACTGTGCCCAGTGAGTTAATCCCACTGTGCCCAGCCTCTCTCTGAAATTTTAAGTGTACTGAAATCTATAGGATTAAACAGGAGGAGCCTAAGACATACAGAAGCAAAATAAAACCTCAGAGGTAAGCTTCACTATAAGGGAGGAAAAGTCTGGACTTGTGCTTAACACTCTATACCAGCCATGTATTAGGGCAGAAGTAGTTTGGGCTCTGCCTTGCAAGTACCTGGTGATGTCATCCTAGGCATCTTGTTGAGAAAACAGCTGTGTGTGTGTGTGTGTGTGTGTGCGTGTGCTTGTGTGCACGCATGCACATGCATGTGTACACCTGCACATGTGTGGATGAAAGCTGTGATAGCTGGGGTTCAGGTAATTTTTGCTGTAGGATGTTACTGACTGAGTTTGACACTAGAGTTACTCACAGAATCCTGGGAGAATCAGCAGAGCTTCACATCAGCACCGTGGTGACAGCAAGATGGCACTGGGACTGCAGTGATGCTGTACTAAATATGGGGCATTGCTTCTTGCTATAATGGTTTAATCAGTAACCCAGGATTCCAATTTGGTCATGGTGGCCCTGGAAGTAATCAAGACCAACAGACAGGAGGTCACTATTGCATCAACTGGCTTTAAAGAATATCCTTGAAATCCCAATCTCTTAGCAGACAGTTTTCAGTACAAAGGAGGAATGAAACGCTGATCTTTGTAAAGAACCCTGGGGAACCATGGGAGAATTTGCAAAGAGCAACTGCAGAGGGAAAAGAGTGTACCTCCCATTGACCTGGGAAATATTGTCATTTGATCATGTTGTGAATTTGTGCTGTGTTACAGATTGAGATCCGAGGCTATGGCAGTTCCTCTATGGTATAGACTGAATGTTTGTGTGCCCCCACCCCCACATTCACATGTTGAAGCCCTAATCACACATGTGACAGTATTTGGAGAGGGGCCTTTGGGAGATGATTAGAGTTAAATGATGTCATGAGGGTGGGGCCCTCATGTAGCGTCTGTAAAGGAGAGACACCAGAGAGTTTGTTCTCTCTCTGTCTTTCTGTGGGTGTGTACAAAGAGGTCATTTGAGCAGTGAGATACCAGTGCCTGCCTACAAGCCAAGAGAAGAGATCTCAGAATAAAACCTACTTTTTGGGAACTTTGATCTTGGACTTCTCGGCCTCTAGCACTGTAAGAAATAAATTTATGTTGTTTAAGCCACCCAATGTATAGTATTTTGTTATAGCAGCTTGAACTGATTAAATCACTCTAGAAAAAAAAAAGGCAAATCTTTACCTTATTTAGGCAAATGGAATTAATAAAACTAACTGCAAAGCACTCTAAGCTTAGCTCTGAGTTTCTCTTTTTGTTTCCCTAGAAAGTGGCTGACTACCAATTGTCATTTTCATAAATTATTATAACTTGTTACAAAATTATACCAAATTTGAATGTTTTGAAATGTTCATGAGAAAAGTTTAGCCTATGTACATTTGGAAGCATGGTAAATTGATTATTGTCACTGATTTATAATGTCTAATGCCCTTTGCTGTAAATCTGTTTTGAAAATGATTTTATTATCATCATTGATTATCATTTTAAATAATTGTTTACATTATAAACGCTAATGAATAAAAAATACAACTAAACAGTATTTTTTATAGGTTCGGAGAAACTTTGGAATATCTAAATGCTGATTTGTTTTTACAATCAGATCACAAGCAGCATAAGTGAACAAAACACAATATTAATGCAGACCGTTGCTTAAGCCCTGTTTTAACATTCTGCTCTGCTTTCCTGAGTCTATAATATTTCATGTAATTAGTCAATCATTTATCAGTCTTGGCAAAGATTAATAACAACTGGAGACTGTGCTTGCTCTGGGAATTATTATTTATGTTCTATATCTCTTGATTAATAGTTAATTCTAAACAAAAAATAATTTAAACATTGCTGTTGTCTTTGGAATTTATTGTGATACATTCAACAGCATAAGGGATGATCTGGGTATTATTTGAGATAGATTAAAAGGCAGAGAGAGGGAACAAAGGGTAAATGCTAAACTGGTACCTCAGCAGAGGGGGTGATGGAACTCTAGCATTGCAGAGAGGAGATAGTGTAGAAGAGACTCAAGCATCAGGTCGTTTGGTGGTCATTAAGTATTCTCTGTCTCCCATTGAAGGGAGCATAATTGAAAGATGGGCCCAGCTGATATACTAGGAAATCCAGGGATATGTTTGATTAGAGGCCATGCCTCCCACCAGGTGCTCATAGCCAATGATTAAATACAACAGGGAGTCTAGGCGAGGCCTTATTTAAGGAAATATAAGATTCCAATAATGAATGGCTTTGGCTCAAGTGCTCCCCATTAGCTTTGTGGAAACAGTCTTAGAGTTGCACAACTTCTCCTACTCAACTTTCCTTGCTTTTTTCTTTCTTTTACGGGAATTATACCTACATCTTTGTCTGATAATTCTCCTGATCCCTTCTAACTCCCTCCTGGTGATTTTTCCTCACAGATGTTTTCTCCAAGAAATCCTTTATACATGTAATTACCAATCTGGCATCTGCTTCTCAGGTGACAAGCACAGGTGGAAAGATAGAAATCAATAAAATAATTTTTAATAAGATTGTATGATCCTTGTGGATATTAATACTTTGGATAGTAAGTTGCCCAATTAGAGATTTTCTGCAAAATAATAAAGGCTGAATCTCCAGGACATATCAGGATGCTATTTTATATATTCATAGCAGTGTGCAGTATGAAGAAGCAGGTGTGTTTAGGGCCTGGTTACTTGGGACAGTTCAGGAAAGCAGGAGTTCTGTTCTTATCTTACACTAAAGTCCATAGACTAAGCCCAAAGACAGGAAAAAAATGAGTGAGTGAATCTATCTAAGGTGGCAGTGAGGGGCATGGCTTTTTCCTTTTAGAAAAATCCAAACTGTGGGTTTTTCCTTCCCATTTTTATTATCTTGTCATAGTATATTGCTTTCAAATGAAAGATATACTTTAAAATATGCTTTTAAATTGGTATGCTGCTTAATCAAACCATTAGCCAATACGACTACACCTCCATATGTACCAAACACTTTTACAAAATGCTAACTATAACCTCCTAAGGTAGAACCTACGTTTATTACTCTCATTTAGATGAGGAAATGGAAGTTAACAAAGGTCAAGTAGTTTCCCAAGTATCCATAGCTGGTAAAGGATGGAGCTGGAATCTGAAATCAGATAGTATCAGTCCAAAGGTTTTGTTCTTTACTCGATAGCACTGCCTGTTAGGAGGCATACTTTCTAAGATAAAAAATTTGGAGGTCAAAACAAATTAGAATTTTTCAACTATCACCTCTTATTTTATTTTAGTCACATTGTGTGTAAATCATCCAAGACATTCATTATTATTTATAGGTTCTTATAGCACCTGTAGTCTCGTTGCTCCCTAGAGATACTGAAGGGACACTTTTCTGACAGCAAATGTCCACTTGGCATAGGTCACTCAGTCTTAAAATCAGTAAGGACTTGACCTGAATATGTATCTTTTAACGTGAATATAAGCTATTAGCATGTTATGCTAACTTATGTGACCTTAAGCAGGTTTTTATTTTGTCCAAAGTCATTCTTTTAAAAATAATACCCAAATGAACCAGAATGAAGAGAAAGCAAAACTGCATGTTTGTAAAAATACTGGACTAAAAAGCCAGAAGTCTCTTAACTAATCTAAAACTTTGTTTAGTTCAAACTATTTTTTTAAAAAAGAATCTCTATTTTTCTATTACCTTTATGCCTGGTTGAAAACAAGCCTGTATGAAAAACAAAAACAAAAAAATGAAATAAAAACAACACTGTGTGTGTGTGTGTGTGTGTGTGTGTGTGTGTTTACAGAATTCTAAATAAAAAAGTAAAATATATGCAAAAGAAATGATAGAAACATTTTGGCATTAGCTAAAATGTATTCAGACACTTAAAATGTGCACACTTTCTTTGGGGAAAAATTTTAGTATGAAAGTTCATTGCCTTAATTTTTTAATGGAAGTTAACAAAGGTCAAATAGTTTTCCAAGTATCCAAAAGCTTTAAATAATAATGAATGTCTTGGATGATTTATACATTTTTGCCTTGATTTTTGATATATTTCATACTCCTACCAATTTTTGTTTTATTGATCAAACTGTGGGAATATCTACATTTCATTATAAGAATGCACCACTTTCCTAGAAATCAGAGGTGAAACCTAATTCTTAATGCTTCTCCATCCTCTCCTGGTCTTCAGTTGTATTCCACACTTAGAGTATTGGTTCCCAGGCATAACAGTTCTGAAATGATGATTCAGGGCAACATTCTGCCAAGAATATGCCTTTTCCCAGGATAGGTCACATACTGCAAAGTGTACAAAGTGTAGTTGTGACATTCTAAGTGATCATTTTGGTGATTTTTTTTCTTTTCTTATTTCAAGAATGATAAAGCTTCTGTTGAAAGGGAATTCAGCTGATTATATATGCTAAGTTGTTGGGAATGTAAAGTAAAAGAAAGCATGATAACCATAAGCAGTTGATCAATTATAAATATGTAATTTCATAGGTCAATTGAACATCACCAAGCACCTAAAGGTAAGGACTTTTATAAAGCCTGTGCTTGTCTATTTTGTAGACTTTTGAAGCAAATCTGCAAGATGAGGAATTATACAATGAAATAGACTATCTCTCATTGAACTGGCAGGTGCGGTATGGAAAATTCAGTAATGAGTGCAATGTTTAAGAAACTGCTGTGCAACAGGACAGTGCTAGGTATTTATTATTTTATAGTTTTCTAAGGTAATATTTTGAAACCAAAGGACAAGAAGTGTCAGAAGAAAGAGGGGTGAGGGTCAGAGGATGAATAACTGACCTGCTATAAAATAGAGCCTGGATCATGCTCTTAGCACAACATTCCCTTAGAAAACCCTGGGATTCTGAAATTACACATTTCCATTTTCTCAGGACCAGCAAACATCATTTCCCCACCCCCCTTTTTTAATCACATGATATGGGTCAAGAGAAGGAGAAAGAAAAGCAAGTGTTAAGGCTTGGGATAAGAAGCCAGAAACAATAAGAAAAAGAGCAAGCACAATCTTAAACATTTTGGTTTTCATTCACTCAGAAGAAGAAACAAATATTTAAATTTGCCAGAATCAGAACTACAATTTCACCTGTGAAAAAGAGAGACTTTTAGTCGTGATAGGCAAGTAGGGTATTTCACTGAAGGAAAGGATTTTAATAAAATAATCAGCATTGAATTGTTATGGACTACTTCCTGCAAGGACTTGATAGGGCAGCAAAGCATATGAAAAATTAAGAATGAAATATTAAACTATTAGTATTGCATTTTCTCCTCTTCTTCCACAGACATGCTGTATTTCCCAGCCTCCCTTGCGCTTAGATGGGTCCACCTGACTGAGATCTAGTCAATGGAATGTGAGCTGAAATTACTTCTAGGCTTAAACCATATTAAATGTTTTATATTTTTTCCCATTCCTCTCCTGCATGTCCTCTTGCTCCCCACTTCCTTCCCCACCTCTGTTCAGTTGAATTAAAGATGACACTCAAGAAAGCATTGGGAGCCAGAATTTGAAGACGAAGAACACCTATCAGCCTGCTGGCTTCAAGAGACTTGTGGATTTATTTATTCATTCAGTGCTTCTATTACAAATACATTTTAATAAATTTTATTTTTAAAATAGTCACTTATTGAGTTTGCACTATTATAATTTCTGGAATCTATTGGCTATGACAGATAGCTGAACATTCAGTACAGTGAGTCAGTTAGCTTAGATTGTACAGAAATCTGGAAGTAAACTTTCCATTCTTTTGTCAGCAAAAGATCAGCCAAAAAATTTTTAAGTGATTATAAATGTAATAGTTGTTTCTAGAAAATGAGATTTTAGCCTTTGGTTGGAATAAGTGGGAAAGGCTATATATTACATTGTAATGAAGAACACAGACCTTTTATTCTTTTTTTAATGTCAGAACTACCACTCACTAGATGTTTCCTTAAAACAGACAACTGGGAAAATGGCCATATGGAAACATTTTATAGAACTGTTTTAATGGTTAAATAAAAAGTACTAAGTAAAAAATGACCAATGCTTATTATATGGACATTATATTTATCAGTCATGAGAAAACCTGAACTTTTAATGATAATTACAATATCTAACACTTACACAGTGTTTATTACATATGGTTACTATTCTAAGCATTATTTAATTCTCATAACTCTATGAGATGTTGCAATTTTTTACACCAATTACCCAGAGGTTGTGATAAGCTTCACAGGTTAAAGACACAATCCTTCACAAGACTACCTTTACTTCAGACACCAGCTGAAAGTTCAAGGGTCCAAAGGCCATCTTTATTTCTGACCAACTGGCAACAAATCTGGGGATTCCTACTACCCCTTCAGGCTCAATTCACGACAAACAACTCACAGAACTCACTAAAGTACTATACATTTGATGACAATGTTAGTACAGCAAAAAGGATACAAATCGGAACCAGCTAAAAGAAGAGTTGCATAGAACAACCTCTAAGAGGATTCGAAATGCAAAGCTTCCATTGTTCTCTTCCTGGAGTCATGACACAGAGTGTTAACAACCAAGGAAGCACACCAGAACATTGTATGCATAGGTTATGTCAGGGCTTAATTACATAGGCACAATTGATTAAATTCTTGCCCATGTCACTCAACCTCCATTTCTCCTCTCCCCTCTCTGGAGGTTGGGCTGATATCATCTGGCTCAAAGCCACAACTCGCTAACCACATGTTGTCTTTTTGGCACGGCCGGCTTCCATCCTGAGTAATCTCATTACTTTAAACTGTCTAGGAGCAGACCATGGGTCACCTCATAAGGATAAACTATCAAGGCTAACCACAAATATCAAAGACACACATATCACTCAGGGAAGTCCTAGAATTTAGAGACTACCTTCTAGAAACCCAGGACATAGGCCAGCCAAATTTCTTATTCCAAGGGTTTAGAGGCTACAATTCCAGTCAAATTCCTTATTATACAGATTGTACTATCATTATATACATCTTTAAATAAAGAAACTGAGGCTGTGAGAGGTTAACTGATTTGCCTCAGGTCACACATCTAGAAAATGAAAGGGGGTTTGAAACTGAGTAGTTCAGTTCTAAGGTCCATCATCTAAGTTATCACTAACGCTCTTAACTTTTGCCATCAATCTAAATCTGGATGGCACAGTATTATAGTTAAGAGTTAAATTTCTTTATTCAATACCAGCTTACACTGGCAAATTCATTTGTATTCCTGGGACACACTTTAGAAAATTCATTGTTTATAAAAATGAAAGCACAATATTAGATTCAGTCATTCATTCAGTAAGTCAAACAGGGTGTCTACAAGATTGTAGTTGCTGTTCTTGGCCCCAGATGATCTCTAAATTCTCTCCTAATTATAAGATTCTATGACTTTCTACTATATGGGAACAGCATTTTTACCATTATTGATATCTTTGAAAGAACTAGTTAGCATTTATTGTTAGTATAATTTTTTCTTTCTAAAGGAAATATGTGTAATACAATGACAAGAGACAAGATCCTACAGGAAGATATTTGATTCCTAGACAGGCAATTAGACATTTCGATGGGGTATAAAGTGTAGGTATGCAAGTTTAGGAGTAAAATTGTGAAGCATAATGATTAAGGCTTATTTGTAGTCCATTAAAGAACAAGAGCTATAAACTCCCACACACATTCTTATTTTACATAGATTCCGAAAGATATTGACAGATAATTCAAAAAGTAGAAACTATAACTATTTTTTAACTTACAAAGGACAAAAGAACATACCAAAGTCTTTTTAAATCTTCAATCATTATATAATTATGGTATAATTATAGTATAGCTAGAATAATAATAATAGGATGATGATTATAATGATAATGATAGGAGAAGGAAGAGTTGAATGAATTATAGCACATTACTGTTTTTGATATGGTTTTTGATATATTTATATTTATGACCTTGATAAAACTCATTGGAAAGCAATTTGGTAATATATACAAAACATTAATATGTGTGTTTTGATCTCCTTTTCCAAGAACCAATCATATATCAGTAATGATAAGAAGAAAAAATACCACATCTACAAAAATGTTCATTGAAGCATTCTTTATATTTGCAAAAAGCTGGGGGAAAGTCTAAATAACAATAACATGGGGAATGGTTATGTAAATTATAGTATATACACTCCATGCACTTTTCTTCCTAATTCAAAATGCTAATTAAGAAACAATGTAGCAAGAAGGAAAATGTTATAATAGTAAGTTAAAAAAAAAAGGAGGATGCAAAATGACAAGTACACCACTGTTCTAGATCTTGACAATCCTGGCATAGCCAATTAAATGTTTATCATTTTTGTGGGGGAAAGTAGATGAGACAAATAGATTGTGACCATTTCTCTTTAACCTGCTAGTCAACTATGATTGCTATGTTTTTCCTGATATGTCTGTACATCTTGACTGAGGAAACATGAATAACATTGAAAAGTTTTGGATAAGCTCACTCCTCTATGAAAATATTTAAGCTCTTATCTCTCTGAAATCTTCATTAATGACACGCCTCTCAAATTGGCACATGAACTCATTTTCTCTTAATAGAACACTATCATACATCAGATCTCAAGTTGACAAAGTAACTGTGTGGTTACAAACACTCAATTTATAAGAATTTGACTCCTTGTCACAGCTAGTTACTAAATTCTAGTGCAACTACCACCCATGCAACCTCAGTAGGCAGAATAAAATTCACACTAGTCAGGGTTCAGGATGCATTTGTTTCTTTATATTTTTCACAATTATTGTGAAAACTCAATTCCAACAGGATTGGCATGTGAGAAAAATTGATGAGGGCAGAATATCTAAGGAGCAGAAGGAGAACAGGCATGCCCAAGAGGGCCAGTGTAATCCTTCAAGGACATGCCAGAAATCAGCCTGAAGCACTGAAACATCTATATATATAAGTGGTGACAACCAACCCCATGCTGCCATCAAGAATGGGACAGCTCAATTTGAAATAAGAAACCAAGGCCAGGCAGTGCTGCAATTCAGAGTCTGGCTTTCCAAGGAGAAACACTTGATATCATCCCCAAAGATACATTTTTCTGTGTAACAACAATCCAAAAAGCTTCATTTATTAGACAGCCTCACTTATTGATAATTAATTTATTTATCATTTGCAAAGATAATCAATTAGAAATCAAGAAGTAACATTTCTCATATAGTTTAGATTTTCATATGGGATGATTTTACAGTTTTCATTCTGCTCCTAGACGGAGAAAAAAGGAATTGTGCTATTGTTTAAGTCAGTGGGGGAAAAAAAAGAAATAACTAGGATAACAGAAAACAAAAAGCCCAGTAAATAATTATTGATTGTGGGATTTAGGAAAATGGCTTCACATCAAAGAGACATGAAACAGTCACACTTTAATAAATACAGCAACTAGTTAGACAATGGCAGCAAACCCTGAGGAGCCTATCCTTTTGATGAAATGGAATTTCCCTGTAGATTTTGCCAAAAGCTAGAGGTTTTCCTCACACCTAACTGCCTTCCTAAAACAGAGAACTCAGATGACTACTGCACTTGTCATTCTCTGAAATCATTTTTTTCTTTTTGAACATGCATTAATTACTGATGACTACAATGTTGCATTCATATCTTCGTAAATATGCCATCGTCTCTCCTATAACCATATATTGCATTTTAAATTATTCAATAGCAACACATTTTGAAGCAGTGCAATTACGGAATTCCAGGCTCAAAGTCAAAATAGGCTTAACATGGCGAACATTAGGGTAAATTTTATAACTATTCTCTACAGGCCATTCAAAATAGATGAATTTCTTTAAACTCATCATTCTTCTTTAGTGGAGCAACCAAACAAACATGCATCATTGCCCAGATAATCATCACTATCTTATACCATTTCATGTAGAAGAATAAGCATAGATTTCATAATAAAACAGATTTTGGAACAAATATAGGCTCTTCCATTATGTGTAGATGGCCATTGGCTTCTTCAGCACTTACTAATTTTGATCACATCTTTTGCTTATTTATTTTGTTCTTTTTCTTACCCCTCCACTAAAATGGAAGCTCGGTAAGAGCAGAAATTTTAGATAGTTTATTTACTGCTATATTTGTGCCTTGCATGCAGTAGCTACGTAATGTATATTAGTTTTGCTCTCTCTCCTTCCACCATGTGGCAGACATGCTTGCTTCCCCTTCACCCTTCCACCATGATTTTAAGTTTCCTGAGGCTTCCCAAGCCATGCTTCCTGTATAGCCTTGGAACTGTGTATATCTGTAAACATCTTTTCTTTGTAAATGACTCAGTCTCAGGTAGTTCTTTATAGCAGTATGAAACAGAATAATACAATTTCCCAAGCAACTATTTGGGGAGTTAGGGGTTTAAAGAACAGAGAGTTACATCCCAGTTATTTCCTAATTGCCTATTTTTAGAATATATTTTCTTTAAGTCTTGGAAATATGGAAGAAATATTTTTGCCCACAAACTATGAATAAAATATAACAAAAGACAAAAGCATCTGTTAAAATATCCTGATAATGAATGAAGCAATTCCATGAATAGGTATCAGAGTTTGCTTCCTCTTCTGAAGATGTCATGCTGTATCCCAGACAAATAATTGAAATCCTGTGTCTTTGAAATCTCTTTCTGATAAACAAAATATAAAGAAAACATTTAACTTGTAAGGTGTTTGACTGATGATTCTTTATAAAGTATAGTATTCTCTTGAGTGTGCCAGTCTGCTGAGTGGTTTCATTTATTTATTTATTGCTAAGCACCTTCAGAAAGTTCTGCTATGTTTCCTCTCTAGAATTCAAAGTATTAATAAAGTGATATTTGGGAAATGACTCAAGTCTACCAGTAAATGTAGTAAAAGAAAACAACCTCAGGAGTATGTGTTGGGTTGGGCACAGTGGCTCACACCTGTAATTCCAGCACTTTGGGATGAAGAGCTCAGAGGATAATTTAGGCAGGGGTTTGCAGCCAGCCTGAGCAACCTAGTGAGACCCCTGTCTCAACAAAAAAATTTAAAAAATTAGCCAGAGTGTGGTGGCATGTGCCTGTAGTCCCAGCTACTCTGGAGGATGAGGCAGGAATATTGCTTGAGCCCAGGAATTTGAGGCTGCAGTGAGCTATGATGGTGCCACTGCATTCCAGCCTAGGTGACAGAGTGAGGTCCTGTCTCTTAAAAAAATTTAAAAAAAGAGTATGCGACAGTCATTTTCTATTGGTGCAAAAATTTTTATGATGAGCCAAAAAATGACACAGAGTGAACAAAGGCAGAAGGCTCACACATTATGAAGAGCAGGCTCTGAGTATAGAGACCATAGATTACCATTTGCTCCTTTGTCTTAGTGTAATTATTAATATAATCTACTTTCGGCCGGGCGCGGTGGCTTACGCCTGTAATCCCAGCACTTTGGGAGGCCGAGGCGGGCGGATCACGAGGTCAGGAGATCGAGACCACGGTGAAACCCCGTCTCTACTAAAAATACAAAAAATTAGCCGGGCGCAGTGGCGGGCGCCTGTAGTCCCAGCTACTCGGGAGGCTGAGGCAGGAGAATGGCGTGAACCCGGAAGGCGGAGCTTGCAGTGAGCGGAGATCGCGCCACAGCACTCCCGCCTGGGCGACAGAACGAGACTCCGTCTCAAAAAAAAAAAAAAAAAAAAAAAAAAAAAAATATATATATATATATATATATATATATATATAAAATCTACTTTCATTTTCAGGAGAAACTTATTTTTCTCCTCAGGGGGAATCCAGGAATATAGCTAGTGGGGAGGACATAAACAGTATTTGGCTCATATTAGGTACTCAATAAATGGTGACAATTTTATTAAGAAAGGACAGTTTCTGTCATGACTCCACCAACAATGTAGGTATGCACATGTGTGCATGTAGTTGTGTGTGGATGTGTATGTATTGTGTGAAAAGATACTTTTTTATTACATAGCAGAATTCTAATAAATGATCTAGCATAAAAGTAGGGAATCTAGGCTGGAAGTGTAGGGCAGCAGGTGACTGGCCTCTGAAACATTTATCTACTGAAAACTCAAACTCTACCACTAGTTGAGAGTGCATTGCAAAGTTCTGCTCCATTGAAATGCACAGGTAGTGACAGCTCATTCAATTAAAACACTAAAGTAAGGAGATTTAGGATTTGGTTAAAGCTTATTGAAGGGTAAAGGGAAGGATAAGGATAGATGTAATTCAAGAACAAGGGAGTATCTAGTGGTTATTTCTAACAACACCTGGTTCTGATATTTTGCACAAATATCAGAGTAGCATCCAGGTACTCTGGAGTGCAAAGATTAAGAAAGTAAAGATGAATGGGAGTTGTATGAAATGTCATTTTCCCACAACATTGGTCATGCTTGATTAAAGAGATTTCCTAGTGAGTTGAGTCCTATTGAGACTAACAACTTACTGGGGTTTCTTTTAATTAAAGTATCTCTAGAGTTCATATGAAAGTTATAATAAATGTGTAGAATGCTACCATATTATATGATATTACCAGCTAGAGAATACATTCCTGAGACTATTTATGAAGCTTTGTTAGAACATTGCAAAGCATTAGTTCACATTTTTAAAAGCAAATAAAAAGAAACAGATTTTACAGTATATGTATATATATGATAGGTTTCAACAAAGAATACATCCATAGAATTTTTAAAGTTATATTTATTTTCAGCTTGAGGAAACAGCTTATTTTAATAACACTAAAATTTTAAGAAATAGTCTAAGAAATCCCAGCCTTTAAATATATAATATAAATACATACAGTAATAAATAAAATGATAAATGCACTTTAATTCAGCAGTGTAAAACACAGAATATTTCCACACCATTTTGCATTTGAGTTTGTTCTTATATTTTGGTATGCTTTTTGTTAGAAATACATGACTAACACTCCTATATCATTAAGCTTTTTATCGAAAAAAATATTATTGCATTGAACTACAGTCCAAGTAATTTATTGAATAACCTAAAAAAGCTGCTTTGCATGTACAATAGTGCAATTTACTTAGCCACAGTATAGTTTAAAAAGACAATTTATACAGAAAATGCAACATAAAATTATTGGTTTATGTGTCATATTGCCAGAGGATCACCAAGTTTAATTACAAATTTAGTACTTTAAATAGAATTGAGTAAGATGGGAATTTGCTTTAAACAGCTATACGACTAATTTACATTGTCAACTATTTTATCTCACATATGGAAGGAACTAACAATTTTGCTTGGGGATAAGAAACCTCTTCTTGAAGTTGTTGTTTCAATATGTGAATATGTTTTAAAAAACACTATTTTCAACAAAGATCAAGATGTACAATTAAAGACTAAAGAGTATATTTATTAAAAACACACACAGATTCACACTCACATGTGCACTCATACATATTTTAAGTTTTCCAATTTGCCTGATTTTATTTTAATGCTTCTCACAAGATATTCTTACTCTTGCTATTTAAGAAAAATGGGGGGTTGCAAAAAGAGGAAGTGACTTTGAGAAAATAATTTTAAAAGTGGATTGGGAGCTCTCCCCCCTATATATAGCTCCATAGAATGAAAATGACCCTTTGGCTTCTCTTTCTAATATTGGCTTATTCTAAACCTAACCCATTCAGCTGCTGCTTCCATTTTAATATAGCTTAATCCAAAGATACAACAATCACTTTCAATGTCTACCTAATAGAAGAAGTGGATAATATTTTTGCTGGAATGAAATGATAACCTTTGAAAATCCTCTAGACCCAGGCTTATTGGCACGAGAACTAGTATTTTAGTAGGAAATGCTCATCTTATTGAAGTGGTTTCAGTCTGAAACACAAAAGGCAACTATCTGTTTTCCTGACTATTGTGTGGAACTAGCCACTCACATGCTTTTTAATAATGTTTCTATTTGCCAATGAGAGCACATTTTCCTTCAGAATTTCATCTAATTTAAAGAATCAAAACTAAACCTTTTCATGAGCTTTGCTGAGCCAGAGATGAGCATTAGGTCCATTTTGCCCCTGAGTATCTTATCTGCATACATTGATATGTAAGATTTAGATCTTTTAAATTGTGTTTTTACAAAACTGGATATGACATTTACATGTTTTTTTCAGAATGTTAACTATGTTTCTGAAAACTCAGAAACTGAAAACGTGGAGAACTTTTTAGGAATGATTAAGAAATGTGCTACTGATTTGAGATGATCAGCAGTACTATTTCACCACTAAAGAGTTAAACATCCACACATCCTGGGGAGGGGATCTGGACGTTTCATTCATATACATCTAGGACACTTGAATACCAATCGGTATCCTAATGGGTAGAGCCATCTCCATATCTCCAATTATTGTATCAAATGATTTGAAATGTATAATGTTTTAGGATCAACTTAAAAGTATGGTGGTAAAATTCAGAAAGCTCTGTTGCTGCCAGCATTTTGAGCTGTGTAAGTAATAACTTCATGCACTAAGGAGATAGTCAGATTCAGCAATATAATCTTGAGTAATTGTACTGGTTAAGTGTTTCATTTAACAGAAACGTTTTACAGAATTAGTTTCTTTAAGTGTATTTCCATTTAGAGATAACAGAGAGATTCCATTAAGTCCTGGCAGAAACTAAAGAAAAGGAGTCACTGTAAAATCCATTTTCGGGAAGTGAAACAAATTTCAAGGGATTATTTTATAAAATGTCTACCTAAGCAAAAACTCTGGGAATTGGAGACTTTTTAAATCATTCTCTATATTCTAATCACTTCCAATATTTCATTTATAACGTCTTAAAGATGAACCTTAAGTTTACCTTTGCATTTTTATAGGCCCATTGTATTTTTTTTCTTGCTGAATTTGGCAGGCAATTATTAAGAAGATGAACATTCCCAAATTTTCAGTGCTTCATACAAAGCATTTATTTCATTTACCTCGAATCCAATGATGCTATCTGATGCTAGACTGGTTCATAATCTGTAAGAAAGACATATAGATAGATAAATGTGTGTTTGTGCATGCATGTGTGTGTACTTGTGTGGAAAGATTTCACAGCCTTTCTTAAGCATTTAGAGCTTAAGACAGATTTTTTAAAAACTGCCTCCATGAGCCACTTGTGAAACAGTAATCCCATAAAGAAAATTAACCTGTAAATATCAGGCAATAGTCATAAAATAAATTTAATGCTAAAAGTCACCTGTCAAATAATTATGTAAATGGAAGGAAACACTGCTAAAAATACAATCCATCACAGTGACAATTTTTTTAAAATCGAACTATTTTAGGGTTCAATATATATTAAAATTTTTTTTTTCCCAAAGTGTGTTTATCTCAAGGTAAAATGGAAAATAAAACAGTGTTTCAGCCTACAGTTACTGATTTGGGGGGAAGTAAGTTGCATAATTGCATCTTTCCTCACGTGATGCCACAACTTTTCCAATTTCTCACCCTGGAGTACAAATTATCTTTTATTTAAAGGGAGATGTTTGCTTTCCACATAGTCCAAATTAGTTTGTCCAGTGAACACCTCATCACTGTTAATACAAGATGGAATAGTCACTTCCATGTCATCCGTTCATATCAATCTGTCTTTGTTAGTCAAAATTAAGTGCTCAGTAGAGGTGCTCGGGTCTAACCTTCTGAGAGTTTAAATTGTCACCAAGGCAATTATAAAAATCAATCAAGTGGTCAGTGTTTTTTATAATAGGACATCTAGTGAGTTTCCATGATTACTCTATCTTGGCTCTGCATCAGCTTTGTAATTTGCTTTAGGAAATAATTATCCACAGGACTTAAAAAATCTGCTAGACCATTTGTCATCCATTTTATAAGAAATATTTCGTTTGTCTTGCTTCTTTTTGGATTTACTCAATGTTCATCAGTGATCTTTTATAATCATTTTTATGGAATTCCATGCAAGTATAGCTCCTTGCTATTTGATGGTTTTTCTTCATTTCTCCATTCATTTTAAATTTAGATTCTGTCAGTGTTATGTACCAGTCAGAACTCTCATCTCACAAGTTTCTAGTGATATCTTGGGAACTGCAGTTTTTCTTTCTGTTAAAATTTCAAATTTACTTTATCTCCTTTTATTCTTTTTCTTCCCTCCACCCTTTCTTTCTCTTTCTCTCTCACCAGTCTCTCCTGAATCAACGATGTCCTTTCCTACTGTTTACCAAGTATTTAGTATTTAACCTTTCTATTTCATTTTCCTTATCTGTAATGAGGAATGATAATACTGATTTCAAAATACAGTTGTGAAAATTAAAGAAGATAATGCAAACAAGTGGATAGGGTAACTGTACCTGAATCACAACAAGCCTTAAATATAGCTATCTTCCTTTTGCAGCCAAGGCTGAAGAAGACATCCTCTAATCTTCTAGTGGTAGAGGAGTTTGCATCTTCGTATAGACAGCATTAGATAAATGATTACCTCCATTTCTGTTAAGTTTGATTTTCTCTGAAACTCATGCTTAAGAACATAAAATAATAAACCTAACTGTAGGATTATGCACCAATATAGATGTATGAAATGCAAATTTTGGCGGCCAAAAACCATTTTGAATGAATGTTTGAAATTATTTGCAACATTACATGGATGGTGAATTTATTCATCATTATTCATTGTTTCATAAATATCTAGTACAATTGAATAAAACACACCAGATATTTAATAAGATATCCTCAATAAACATGTAAAAACACTGACATTTTCAAACCTTTACCTCTATCCTTATACATGTATTGGCTGAACGTAGTAAAATTTTTGAGTAGAAGAATAATAAACAATATTTTAGTTCCTGTTATATTTGACAGATTGACCAATATATTTAAAAGGTTATTCTGAGCACGTTTTATTTTTGAGTTTGCATTATCAAATACTAATGATAGTTTGTATATGTTTTTATACAAAAGTTAAACATTCTTAGTTTTAGATTTTGCTGATTCTTACAATTACAAAATTATCTTGACATAGATTTGTGTGAAATGAAGATAATTTATTTTTCACAGAAACTCAAAAGTATAATCTATAAAGATTGTTTTTCATTAAAATGTAATTTTCAACCTAAATTAATCAGAAAATGTCTTGTTCTTATTTCCTATGAAAATACAGTAACAGACTACATTAATTGAAAACTTAGTCAATAGTTAACGACATAAATTACTTTAAATAATTGCTTCATTTCACTGACCTTTTATTATCTAACAAATAAGCCAAATCAACACTCATTCATTCACACAACAAATACTTAGAACGCAGGGTGCCATATTTCATTTGATTTTTCTTTTTAATTTTAATGCTCTGCTTGAATGTTTTCTGTTGCTATTTTATAACATTATGCGAGAACCCATCCAAAACAAATCTTTAACTCTTTCCCTCTTCCCTCTACGCTTTCATAAAATTATTCAAATTTGCCTATTATTTTGGCAAGCTAAAAAATTATTAAAATGCTCTTGTTTTAGTATTAGCAATTCAGATCATATTTATATATTTGTCACATTTTGAATTGGCAGCAATATTTTAAATCTTATAATTGACAGACTTCTTTAAATGTATGATTTTATAGGTAGTGACAATTAAAAAAATTATCCACAGGAGGGGCTTTAACACTTATTAGTTCAAGTGTGTGGACACATTTAAGGCCTCTTTCACTTCATTTAGCTGTTGCATCTGGCTAGAGCAAGAATGATGGCAAAAATCTTGACCTTGGAATACTGGTTGGATTAAAGGATTCAAGTGGATGATAGAAGTTGTGGCTGGATTTAAGTGAGGACCAAACAATGTAGGAATAAATGCTGTAGGGGGCAGAGGCTGAAGTGTTATGTGAGATGGGTGGAAGGGGGTAGCAGCTACTAAATGCAGGGGATGACCTGCTAAGAAAGTGGGGTGTGCAGGGATAATGGTTGGAGTCAGAGTCGAAAATGAAATAGGACTGAAATGTGCCTGTGAAAGAGGATGTAGATGAGCAATAGGGAGGTGACTGCTATGAGAACTTAAGGAAGCAGAAACAGCAAAATGCTGCAGGAACGTGTGGTGGATGGTGGTGATAGAAGTGTGCTGGTGAACTGGAACTGTCTGTACGGTTGAGGCCGGAGAGAAGGCAGTAGGCCCTGCAGCAGGCAAAACTCGAAGATGCTTTGATAGGAGTTGCTTCTGCATATGCTGCTGGGCTTGTAGCTGTAGGATCTTATATTTATCTATTTCGTCAGGAGAAAATGTTATGGGCTGTTGAATTAAAGGGGGAGAGATAGATTTATGACACATTTCTAATCCGTCTTCGACTTTGTCAGGTTTCTGCATAGTTCTGTCATAGTAAGAGTTTATATTTCCCTCTACATGATTTATATGCATGCTTACATCCTGTAAGTCTAGATTTATTTGGTCTTCTTGGGTCTCTGTTGAATCAGTCACACCAGTATATTTATTAGACGGAAAAGCACCAGGGAATTCATTTGGTACTGGGTCACAGCTTTGAATAAAAGGTTGGATTTCACTAATTAAAGGTTTTGATTGTTCTTTTGTTGTTGCATCCCTTTTTATGTTTAGTGACTGAGACTCTGTTACTAGGTGAATTATACCTTTAGAAAGATGGTTATCACAATCAGTGTCTGCTAAAATTGTAAAATTATTTGTGTGTGAACTTTTGCTTTTGTCTTTCTCCGTAGTCCTTGGAATTGCACTGTCTTGATCATTTCTGCTCTCACTTGCATACTGTATTTTTTCAGACAAAGGCAATGCTTGTCTGTTACAGCCTGATGGTGCAAGTTGAATTGTGCATGGGACTTGCGAAGGAGCCTCTAATTCACTTTTACAACTGTTTGAAGAGATCTCAACATTACTTGATTGTTCTTGACATTTCTTGGCTTGTACTCTTTCTAAAAGGATTTTTGCTGTTAGAGGGGTCCTCTCTCCTTCTGCAGTGTTTGATTCTGTGGTTTCTGAAGGGCCACTGGAACAGTTCTTTAGAAGGCAGCTGATATTCCCGGAGTTACACTTCATGGGCCTGACTTTTCCCAGATCACAAATGTGAGGGCTGCCCAAAGACTCTTGATTTCTCTTGCTTTTATTCAAGTAATACATTTTCTCTATTGAGTAAGAGTCCAATCTGTCGTGCTGAGTTCCCTGGCAATTAGGTGGTTTTTTACTGCTTCCAGTACAGGAAATCTGTGAGTTAGAATCACAATAGATGATTCTCGTAGATTTTAGCCCTGAAAATTGTTGTTGATTTTTGCCCAGTTTTTGTCTTTCTCTGCAGTGACAATATCTACGTTTTGAGTATTTTTCATTTTTAAATGATTCCCACAATTTGCAGTTCCTCTCTTTCTGTGGTTCAGACTGCATTTGGCTGCTCTTTGTTATATCATCAGACAAGTAGAAGCAGTTGTGCTTTAGACATTTCCGTTTGTGCCTTTCAACTGAGTGGTGTTCTCTTTTATGGAAGCAGAGCAAATTACCTCTGCTATTACCATTGAATCTATGACTTGAACAAGTACTTCTCAAGCTAGACATGCTGCTAGGGGATGTGTCCAAAGAGGAAGAATATCTACTCAAACATGACTGTGGAGAGTATCTCTTGTATCTTTGGTTTCCACATCCGGAAACCTTGCTGGTCATGCTGATGTGGTTACTCTTCAAAATTACACTGAAGTCTTTCCCATGGTCACTGTGACCCCCTACTGTACAAGGACTGGACTTGCAGTTGAATTGTCTTTCATCTTCAAATTCCAAATGAGGACTGCAGGGAATCAATTTATGCTTTTTAAACCTAGAGATGTAGGAAGGAAAAGATAGGTCCTCATCTATATCATTTAGAACTGCCTTTCTGCAGCCTTGCCAATGGGCCCTT
Source organism: Homo sapiens (assembly GCF_000001405.40). Classification (NCBI taxonomy): domain Eukaryota; kingdom Metazoa; phylum Chordata; class Mammalia; order Primates; family Hominidae; genus Homo; species Homo sapiens. The sequence continues at coordinate 89,334,799 of NC_000007.14, read as the reverse complement.
GAAGCTTCCTTAAGTTTGTTCTCACTACTATTATTCTTTCCAGCACAATCCTTTAGAGATGTGTTGAGGTAAAGAGGCACTTTAGGATTTTTCATTTCCAAATCATTTGCACTGAAAGTATATTCACTCTTATTTGGCTCAGAATCACTGTAGTCCAAATTATATTTCCTCTGGAATTTTTCCCAATCCGGATTAGCTATCATCGTCTTTGGTTTCGGATATTGATAATCTTCTTGGATCAATTTTTGTTGGTCTTCAGTTAAACCTGAGACTTGGCTCTCTCTTTTAGTCTTCAATTCCAAGGGCTTCTTACCCAATTCTGTTTTTAAGTCCTCTAGATTGTGGTCTTCCTTTGTGTTCCGAGAAAGCTTAAAATCAAAATACAGTGGGTTGCAGCCATAAGAGATACAGGGTTCTGTTTTTGTAAAGAGCAGAAGTTCCGTAGGCCATTGAAGAGTGGTGTGGCCATCCTTGCTTTGAACGTGGAGAAAAGGTAGTGGTTTAGATGCCACATTATGGGTACATGCTTCTTTTACAAGTCTTTGAACATTTTTGCTAACTCTTTCTGTTTTATCTAAAGATTTTTCTCTGTTCTCTATTCTGGAATTTGGATTCAGATGCACTGTACTCTTTTGTTCACTTGGCTCCAGTGATGAAAACTCATCCAGGCATTCAGATATCCTGGCATCACTATGGTTGTAAATGTTTGGTGGGCTGAAGGAAGCATTTGCTTGGCATGGGTGATTAACACAATTTTCTAAAGTGTTCTTCAATGTATTTCTAGTTTCTTTTTCTCTGCTGGTAGGAGTAAAATCTACATCTGAAAGATGAATGTTAGATTTAGAGAATGAAGCATGAATGCCAATTGAATCTTCTAGTGTCTCATCAATAGAGTCGTGTTTGTCTTGCAAAATTTTAGAGTTTATGGAGATGGTATTGTGTAAAACACTTTCCAGATGGCTTGGTGAGATATTTACCTCTTTTTCCTTGGTAAGGTGTGTATCTTTATTTGCAAACCTGCAGCACTTGCACTTATCTGCAGTTTGTTTTGTTTTATAAATGGGTGACTTGTTACAATCATGGGTTTCTTCTGTGTTCTCACTGAAAACTGATGCTGAAGATTCTAATTTTAGGTGCACTTTTTTGGAAAAAGTAAATGATACTCCTGTTCTGTGATTTGCATTGCTGAGATCTGAAGATGTTTGCAGTACCTGATTTCCAAACAAACAACGCCTGTCTGATTGTAATTGGTGTCGATTTGGCATGGTGGACCGCTGTTTATCGGATATGATTCTGGGGAGATTTTTTCCTTTAAGGAGAAGAGCACTCTTCATGCATGATACCTTTCTGCCATTCTTAATGGGGAAAATTCCTTGCTGGAGTTGCTTTTCTATGGCTACCCTGGGGGCTTTGTATGCTGGTCCATTTCCAGAAACACTGTAAATACAATAAATATTTAAATGATTAAGAGATTAGCTTTGGAATCATATCTACATATGAACATTTCATAGTGTTTCTAAGATGAGTTATTTTACATTTTATGAGCTACATCTTCTAAAACATAACCTTTTGTTGTCCTTATATAGCTTAGCATAAATTGTATAGTGGCTATTTCTAAAATGAATTGTTTACATGTAGTATTTTGCAATTACCAAAAAGCAATAGCAAGTGAATTATCTTATGCTACTGCTTCTAAAGCATTTACATCACAATATATGTCCTATAGAATCTATCAATCTTTGGAATACAGATTTAACATGATTTCACTAATAGTTTTCCAATCAGTGCATTCACATTAAATAAGAAATTAAATAGAATTAAAAGCCACTTTAAAAATATAAAAATTTTTTTAAATTTGCTTTTATGTGCTATTTCTAACATTTTATAATGTTTAGCTCCTTGGGTTTAAAATTCCCTCATATTCACTTACTTTTGAAACACAGTGGTAAGTTCTTTCTTTATGACTTGTCAGTAATTTGACTAATTATAATAAATGCATAATAAAATAAGACATATGTACAATCTATCTAAATACCTTCAATGATTTTGAAATCTTTTCTTCTGCTTCTTACTCACCAAAATATTTTTTCTACCATTTCTGCATTATATGTTTTATCTTTTAAAGGTCTCAAAAGGTTATTTGTTCTACTGAGCTTCATTAGCAATTCATACAGAAGATTGAAAATATCAACATATATAAGAGATAAAATTCTTTAGATTAAAATTATATGCCCTTTAACAGTCTATCTATATACCCTCTACTATAAAAGAAGGCTTCACTGGAAAGAAGACAATACAAATCACATCATTTTTCTTATTGTTTGCTTTGAACTGGCATTCTTTTTCTTGTTCCATATACTTGGATGTGTTTGTTTGCTTATTTCTAATTTTGATTTTTATTTTACTTTCCTCTAGTCATTTGTTGCTTGAATATAAAATACTAAGCCAACTGGTATCTCTTCCATATGTTGCTCAAGTTCTAATGTAGAGTAGTGCTTTCTGAGTCCTTGTCTAACAAATTCTTGTTGGTTTCTTTTACCATTCTTTGGCAAATCAGCATCGAACTCTAGAGTCATCACATTCCTTTTGTCCACCAAATTTCATGTACTTTGCTTCATTGTCTCTAGATGAATCATATTATAGACATATTGAATTAGCTTCCCTTTATTTATCTTTGAGATGAATCTGCTTGTGTGCTTGTATGCTTTTCCCTTCTTATAAAGTGTAAAAATATAAATATATATAATTCATTAGATTTGTTACATAAAGAGTATATATACATGTATATTAATATATACATATATGTATGTATAACATTTTAATAGAACATAGTTAAGGTTGATTAATTTGGGTGAATTTTTGTTCTTGGGCACTTTCAATTTAACTTTCTTCAGTTCAGATACATTTTTTTCCCTTGATTTATCTGATTATTGCTTCCTTTGGAATTTATGTTTTAAAATCATTGGCTCTCCTGAATATATCCTTTAGGTATTGATATTTATCTCAGTACTTTATTCTGTCTTCAGTCTTTTTCTATAGTTCAGGGAGAATTTCTTTGATTTTATTTCTATTTTACTGACTCAGTTTTTTTTACAATATTCAATCTGTTTACAAATTATGACCATATGGATTTTAACTTGCAAACACTAATTTTAGCCACCATTTAGCTTTTAATGATTTTAGAACGTCTCCTCTTCATGAATGGCTGTAATTTTAGAATTACAGAGTTCCTTTAAATCTTGTAAAAAACTAAATTTAGACGTTTTTAAAAGCTGTATTATCTTCCTTACAGTAACTCTTTCATAACGGAAAGTTCTTATTCATCACATTAATCTCCTTTTATTGAGTAAATTTTTGATGTTCATTAGGCATATTTAATAAAATGAATAGTGAGGAGCATTCTAAGATAGTATATGAGTTACTGAATGTTTCTTTCAAGCATAAAAGTAAATAAGGAGCGTAGAGACTTTATTACAACATTATTGGCCTTTGAAAGTGCCTCCAGCCTGCAGATAGAAGGAAGTGATCCAGAAACAGCTGCAGCATTCAACTTTGCCTTGGTACCAAAGAGATTATTTTCCATATTTGTAGCCACAATTTGGATTAAGTAGGAACTATACTTCTGGATTAAGTTAATCTTCTCCAGAAGCTTCAATCGATCTGACATTATCACCTGTATGAAACACAGTTGAAATTATTCCACAAGTCTAGTGTATGGATACTATTGTTCTTCCTTTCCCAATTCCATTATTATGCAGTTATTTTAGTATTTATTATATCATGTTAAATATATTATATATATACTTTTCTTAATAATAATTTTGCTGATTATCCTGACACTGTTTTATTCATTTTCTTGCTTTATGTTAATCTAAATGTTCTTTTCTGTACTGCTGTTTTATTTTACCATGTAGCTCTCTAATATGCAAGCTTCTTCTTTTTACATTCTTTTAAATATTTTAAAATTTCTTTGCTCTTATTGTTTTTCTAATACAATGTTCTCTAGCTTCTTGTCCTTAATTCTAGTTCTCATTTTCCAATTTAAACTGCATTTATAATTACAGATTTTTCACAAGTTTTAACATTTTGTCCTTATTGTTAATCTTTGACACTTCTTACTTTTATTCTTTAAACTTTTTATCTTGTTGCTTTATAAATTTTAATTTGCTTTTTCTTAAATCAAAGTTATTCTTATTATTTTGGAAAATCCTGTTTTTATCTTTGTGGGGTTTTAAATTCTACTATTTTAATACAAGTTTGGGTATTATAACATTATTAAAGCTTTAACTTTTTCTAGGTTTATTGAGATATAACTGGAAAAAAATTGTATATATTCAAGGTATACAATGTGATCATTTGATGTATGCAAACAAATTAATTTGTGCATCTATCATACACGTAGTTACCATTTTGTGTGAGATAAGGGCACTAGATTCACTCTCTTGGCAAATTTCAAGTAAACAATACGGTATTATTAGCTAAGATAATCATGCTCTACATTAGATCCTCAAAACTTATTCATCTTACATCGGAAAGTTTATAAACTTTGAACAATACCTTCACATTTCTCCCACCAGCCCGCCCCTTGAAACCACAGTTGCATTCTCAATGAAACTTCAATTTTTATAGTTTTCTCCACATTTAATATTTCCCTCACTTCTTTGGAACTTTCTTTAGTTTTGAAAATATATTCTTACTTATATTAAAATAATGGTTAATAAAGTGTCTGTAGAGTTTGGTTTTTAATTCTTATTGATGGATTTTCCATTCAAATTGTTCTCCAAAAATTCTAATACTCTGCAGCTTAACAAATGCACATTTTGATTCTCTCCTGTTCAAAAAGCATCCTTACCAAACAGAAAGAAAAACATATCAAAACAACATGATTTTTTAAAATGGTGTCATTCTTTCGTGTTCCATTTTCCAGCTCTTATATGAAAAACTTCATATAAGAGCTAGATAACGTGGAACATTAAGAAATGACACCACTTAAAAAATTCATAGTCTCAGAATCAGTGGCCCTAAAATTTTTAAATTTTGGAAAAATTTCCATATTAAGATGTACTAAAACTTACATACATAAGAAGTTCACATACAGAGAGGGACTAAACCCTCAGCCCCATATAATAACTGCTATTGCTGAGGAAACAGGTTGGCTGGAACTAGTTAAGAGACGGTCAAATTTGATGACCCTTTATAAGATCTGTTACCATTTTTTTGCCATCATTTTATGCACTACCAGTAAATTCACCTCTCTTCTCCCAAAGGGTCACAGAAGAATTGTGTTACCTGGATCATCCTATTCAGAAGCCCTCATTATGAGGAAAAAGGACAAAGAAAAGATTGTCCAGGAGAAGGGTAATGCCAGTGATTTTTTCTTTTTATTTTATTTTTAACTTTCACTTGTCAATTCACCTACTAAAATAAAGTATTTAATAATTCTGTTAAGTGACTTTCCTTCAACCATGAGTCTGTTTAAGCAGAGAGAGCAATTGGCTAAGAGGCAGGTGATGGGCAGTAGACGATAAAAAAAAATTATTTTCCTAGTTTCAGGCTCTATATCTAGAAAGCTGAACACTTGTCTTTTCCATAACAATACGGGCACATTGTGACCTAGAGAGTTTGCCTATTTTATCAAATCACCAAAAGGAGTGGTTAGGTTTGTGTTTGTTTAGTGAATAAGGCTTCCAGAGGGACAGCTGAAACTTAATAGAGTGGACCTTTTTATTTGAAAGAAACTTAATGGGTAGCTCTAGCAAACTTGGAACTTCTAAATAAACCATCATCATCACCATCATTATCATCATCAGCATCATTATCATCATCAGCATCATTATCATCATCACCATCACCATGACCACTGCCATCAGCAAGGCACCTCTGATTCTTTGTTATTTACTCCAGAGGAAAATATAGAATGGGTAAGCAGAAATGTAGAAGTGTGACAACTTTCATAATAACAAACAACCAAAATTATATTTGTTAAGACTATTTAGATTTACTGTTGTGCCCTTAAGGGACCTGTCTAAAGACGTATATCTATGTTAGAACTTGTACCATTTGTTATGATCTGACTTACTGCATCTCCTTATTAATCACAGGAATTAACACTTTCCCTAGATTTTTTCCTGCATGCTACCCTAACAACAATAGAACTTTTCCTTCTAAGCCCTATTTTGGCAAGGACTGAGTTCTCATTAACAGTATGTTTGCACAACATATTGTAAGTCCCTCATTGTGTTGGCTGTAGAAAGCTCAGTACCAAATGTATGCGTTGCTTCTAGAGTTGTATAAGACCCCAGAGCATGCATTTTTGTATTAACCTTACTTCTGGCTACATGTTGTACCTTTATTTTGTCTTCATATGAAATTTCTCATTTCTTGTTAATATGATTATCTTTTATGTATTTTCATAAATTAATTAGATTATTCTAAAAGTTATAAATAAATACATGCAAGCTGAATATTAATTGCATTTTTACTCATAATTGGTCCTACAAAAATAAATGTTTCCTTAAAATTACCTTTTAAGTCTAATATTTTGTGGTAACTAATTGAGCCACTCACTCCTGTTTATTATATATTACTTTCCATTTAAGCAATAGGTGTTTAAATTCTGGCACAGAGGCATAAGTTTCACAATTCACTAGGTTGCTGTCAAACACATTAATTAGCTACATTAGTGTTTTACATTATGATTCATATGAACACAAATCACAATCCACAAATTTAATTGCATTCCAGGTAACAACTTTGAAACATCCAGTGGTTCCAAGCTTTGGTAAAACTGCTATTTTTCAGCTACAAGAATGTATTAGTATAAAACTTGTTATATTATAATTATCAATTTAAATGGCACTGTGTGGTAAATTTAACTGCATTAATTACATCTTGTTTGTCAGCCAGACAATGATCGTGTTATTTGTACTAGACACAGGTGTGTACACGGAAATGTTCAGAAGACTTATTCCCCACCCCCTAAGATATATTGTTAATTATGGTTTTTAAAATTATTATTACAAAATTTAAAAAATATATTAAGAAGTGATATTAATCCATTTAGTCAACTGGATAGAATAAATGCTAATGTATTTGAATCATTCTGGGATCATTTCATTATAGAGTACATTAAATTAACAATATTAGGAAAGAAAAATATCAAAGGCCAAAAGTTATTAATTTATGTATGTTTAACTATATTTGCCCTTCAGACATATCTATTAGTTAGTTATTATTTGTTTACATTGTTACAGTAGATTTGCCTTTAAAATTTCCCCATAGGTTGACGAGAGTTTTGAAGCATCCCAGACACCTTTAATTCTTACCATTCAGATTGCTGCCTTAACTCAGCCAGCTGATGAAGTCGTTTAAGTGCTTTTTCTTGTTTTTTCTCATCTTTCCATGACTTAGAAGCTACATTTCGAGCAAATTCCCGTTGCTTTAATTCTTTCAGTCTCTTGAAAAAGAAGAAAAACCAAAAAGGTACTATAAATAAATAATATATTCTTTTCCATCCACAAGGCTCCTTATTATTCTTTATCCTAAGTGCAGAGGTGACTTTCTGGGCAGAAAGAGTAAAAGTATCTTCTCCATTGTTGCTATTCTCTGCTCCAAGACACATTTAGCAGATAAATGTGTTGTCAACCAGGTTATTTTTCCAAGCTTGTCACAGTCACTGCAAAGCTGGGCCCCAGGCCTCGCTGGTATCACCCTGGCTATGCAAGTATAATAATCTGTGTGCTTATAAAAACACAAATGGGAAAAACATGCAATATATGAATGAGTATGAAGGGAGGCAGGTTATGAGATGCATGTTCTTCCACCCACCTGCCCCTCACTTGTAAAAGTGATGCTATTAAATACACTGGGTGGAATAAGCTTGTTTCAGGAAAGAGCATCTGTTACTGTGAAAGATTTGGTTCAAAGCTCTAAATGTGATTTTGAATTCATTTTTCTGGATGGAGATATTTATCAAATACATATTTCTATATTGTATCCAGGAAGACAGAAAAAAATGAGTCAGGGATTTAAACTCAGAATAGAGGCATGGCCCTGCTTGATTTAAATTCACTCACCACTTATTTTAATTAATATTTTCTCTAAAACAATTGACTTACATGCAAGTAAGACCTCTTCTTAAGAATCTGCCACTAAGCACAGCTAATGATATTGAATGAACTGAGAAACAGCCAAAATCAAATGAACCTCTTGAAGTTTGGGGCTTAATCCTGAATTGGAAGTGTATTTAAAGATTATCCTCTTAACTCATACAAAGTGATTTTAAACAGTCTAAAATCTGTATCTGTTGAAATTATTTTCACTTCCCATATCAAGTATAAGAGATGTTTCCCAGGTATGGAGAAAACTACATAGTTATCATGTGACGTAATAATACTGGAGCCGACTGTTACTCACTTGCAGAGCAAGGGCCAAAACCTTTCATTAGCTTCATTCTTTAAATGAAACATGCTCATGGTAGACAGTGGTGAGATAACTACATCTAAGCTAAGGATTTGAAGAAGAAGGCAGATCGGTCTTTCAAAGAGAGAATATTCTCAGCACAAAGAACAAGAACCTCACGGAATTAGAAACAGCTACAGGGAGAACAGTGGACTCAACCTGAATTCAATTTTTGACAAATAATTCAAATCCTTCTAAAAATAGAAAATTTCAAGAAATATAATTATGCTCTATATGTTATCAGAAAAAAAAGATCAATAGTTCTCTGGAAATTATAAACAACAGATGATCTGAGCATTAAAGCGTGGATAGCCTTGGTCAGAAGACAGGAAGAAAGGCTTATAAAATCCTTATTGCTACGTACCCTGCTACTCACTTCCTCGGACCCTATGTACTTGAAAGCCTATTTCTTAGAGTGAAGCCTTGTCTTACAAGCAAAGACCTTTTGGAAATTGTCCTAAATGATTTAAGAACAAACATAAACTATAGTACAACTGTGTCAGAGAGAGAAAATTGCTATTTTGGAAAAAAAGGAGAGGGTTTTTTTAATACTCTGTTAGTACTGAATATAAATACCCCATATTATACTTATTTAATATTAGGTATTACCAGCACACAAAACTTGTATAATAAAGAGAAGGAAATTGATTCATTTACTCACAACAATTGACACTTGACTCATTTTTGGAATCCTGTTTGAAAATTTGGGGTACCTCTGTTTCTTTTATTAGCCTTCTAGATTCCAGGACTATACTTTTATTTTTGAGTTACAGAAATGATTGAGAATTCTGTATTGTTTATCTAACAACAAATATTGTTAATTGCTACTATGTTAATCCTTATTATTCTTACTATGAAGTGTAAAAATGTACAAATCAACAAATCAATTTTTTTTTCCCTTCAAGGAAGACAGACAAGTGCTTACACTTCTGTAAGATAGTGTTGAGTTTCTTAATAAGGGTGTACACAATGTGCTTTGGAAATATACAGGAATAGTTAAAAGATTAATTGTGTTTAGGAAGTTTGCAAAGTTAAAATGTTTTTAAGGAACACAGAAAACTGGAAGAAGAGATTTTGTTTAAAGACATCTAGCCACAAATTTGGTTTAGTCAGTGCTGAGTGCTCAAGTTTAAGTAGAGAAAAAAAAACCCAGAGATCTGCTGCAAGTTTTCAGTGTACTGAACAATGCATCTCTGTGAGGAAACTGTTCCAGTTTAGGAAAAAAAAATCATCTGAAACAGTTTAAGAAAAACAGTGTCTAGCATTCATATAAAGCCAGGAATAGTGGCTGTTTTCACTAACAAAACTGGAAAAAAATGACAGGATATTGAATAGATAATTCAGAAAAGTCATGCATCAGTAGAGGATAATTAGTCATAGATTCAGCACTACTTTGGAGTTGCTTTAAAAAAATCATAAAAGCAGGAAATAAAAGTATAAAACTGACTCCACATAACTAGCTGAATCATAGTACCAAACACTGGGATATGTATTGCAATACAAAAAAAAATAGCCAACAGAAATGAGAAAAATTAATATTTTGTATCCAATCAAATATTATCAGGATGTAATAGCAGTTGAAACTGGTCTGTAAGTTAAAGAAAAATATACTATGAACTCTACAGCAGCCATTAAAATGATAAAGTGTTTTAGCCAGGAGGACAACAAAGGAGATAAAAGAAAATCATTAAATGTACTCAGTGCAAGAAAATGCAAAAAAAAAAAAAAAAAAGTAAGAAGGTAAGGTAGACTGGACAATTATAAAATAAATAACAAGATAATAAATAAAATTTAAACATAATAATAATATATTAAATGTAAATGGTCTAAACACCAAAATTAAAAGACAGAGAGTATTCATTTGGATAAAAGCGTGAGGTCAACTCTGTTGACTACACAAACAAGCTTTTTTAAAAATGAGGACAAAATGAGTCAAAAGAAAAGAATGTAAGAACACATATTATGTCAACACTTGTCAAAAGAAAGCTAGGGGGGCCATATCACTGTAAGACAGATTAGATCTCAGAGCAAAGATATTTTACCAGGAATAAGAAAGGTTTCTTCATAATGATGATGGAGCATTAAAATACACAAAGTGAAAATGGATACCCACTGCATGGAGGAAAAAATGGACAATTATTATAGAATATTTCAACGTCTTGCTATTAAACATCAACAAAATACTAATTGCAAATCCAATACTTACGGAAAACGTTACACCAAAGTGATTGTATCTCTTATAAAAGACCCTTCCAAAAGTGTCTTTGTATGATGAAAAGAGGACTATCAATCACTGGACAGATGGGGAGGACTTCTAAGAATCCAGAGGCCAAATTTTGCCAGCCTCATGTTTTGGCTTAGCCCAAATTTCTATTTTTCTCCCCTTGTTCTGACAAGAACTCATTTACTTCAGCCATGGCACATACAATGATTGTCAGTAACCTTCCTCCATTTAAAGAGAACATAATCCATTTGGAAGGAAAATGTTCTTTGAGGGTGTGTAATGAATCAGCTCTTATTGAGAACAGACAGCACATGGCATACATATTTCAGAAAAAAATGCTACTTTACACATTTACACACAATAATGGGAAAACAAATAGGGTATTGTGCAAAGCGGGTGGTAAAGAGTGAATCTGCTTTATTACCTTACAGTCTAGGTAATAAACAAAGAGGTAACATAGGTAAGATTAGAACAATACCTTGCATTCTTATCCTTTAATGATAAAGGTAGATGGCCATATAGTAAAGAAAACTAAGCAACATAATTATGATACAAGTGTGTTATATTATTAAATACATTTTTGCATCTATTAAAAGGATCACATTATTAATTTCCCTTTATGTAGTGAATAACTTCTATGCATTTTATTGTGTTAAACTTCACATTCATAGGATAAATATTGCTTGGTTTTTATATTAACATTTTGAAATATTGATGAATTTGATTTGCTAACATTCATTATGAACTTTGCATCTATGTTCATGTGTGATATTGGTCTGTATTATCTTTCAAAGTTCTTGTGTCATTCTAGTGTGGTTTTAGTCAATTCAGTTTGCTATAATAGAATACCACAGACTGGGTGGCTTAGCTAACAAACATTTATTTCTAACAGTTCTGAAAGCTGGGAAGTTCAAGATCAAGTTGCCTGCAGACAGATCCAGTGTCTAGTTATGAAATTCTTCCTGGTTTGCAGATGGACATCTTTTTGTTATATCCTCACATGGCCTAGGCCAGAGAGAAGAGGCAAGCTCTCTTGTCTTATTTGTAAGGGCACTAATCCCACTCACGAAGGCTACGCCCTCATGTCCAATCACCTCCCAAAGAGTCTACTTACTTCATAATACTATTATATTGGGGTTTGAGGGAACATAAACTTATGGTCTATAACAAATACCATGGTAATAATGGCCTCATAAAATGAGTTAGAGAATGTTTTATCCTCTATTTTCTAAAAGACTGTGCATACAATTAATATTACATATTCCTAAAATACTAGAGTCACCACTGAAGCCATGTTTTCCTGGAGTATTTTTTCTGGTTGTTGTCGGAACTTGTTAAATCATGAATTCAGTTTATGCAAGATATATAAGACAAAATAGATTTTTTATTCTTTTCTGAGTGAGTTTTGGTAATGTGTTTCTTTCAAGATTGTTTCACATTTTATTTAAATTAGCTTTTTAATTGTCAAAACATTGTTCCAAAAATTTTCTTTTTATTCTTTTGATATTTGAAGCATCTAATGCAATGTTACCTCATTTAAACCTGATATTGGCAATCTGTGTATTCTATATTATTCACCAGTCTTTCTAGTGATTATTAATTTTATTAATATTTTAAAGGAACCAGATATTATTTAGTAGTATGCTTTCAATAACATCTAAATATTCACACATTTTCTGGATATCTTATTGTTACTAATTTCTATTTTAATACAATTTTGGTCAGAGAACATATTCTGCATGATGTCAGGTCTTGGACAGTTTCATAAATGTTTTTAAGATAGTTGTAGAAACGTTTATACTGACTCAGCCTATGGTCTATCTTGGCAAATATACCATGTGCACTTGAAAGCAGAAAATATTTATTCTGTTTGCTGTATTTCAAGTTCTATAAATATCATTATGTCAAGCGGTTAACAGTTTTGCTTAAATCATGTATTACCTTACGGAAATTTGTGCCTACTTGTTTTATCAATTACTAGTGAAAAGATATAAAATTCTGCACTTACATTTTGTGATTGGTCCATAGTTCCCTTTGTTTCCATCAATCTTTACTACGTGTTTTTGAGAACTTTCGCATCAGATGCATACATATTCAGGAATTTAGAATTGCTATATCTTGTTATTTAGTTAACTTTTTATAACTATGAAATATCCCACTTTTCATCTCAAAATACTCTTTCCTTTGAAGTCTACTTTGTCTGATATTAGTACTGTCATATCTCTTTTCTATTACTTAGTGTTGGTATGGTATATCATTTTTTATTCATTTAATTTAAAACAGATTGTGTCTTTAAAATGTATTTATTTTAAAAGCCATTTATTTGGATCTTGTGTTTTTATTCATTCAGGATTTTTTTCCTTTTAATTTAGGTATTTATTTACCTTTAATGTAATTATTTCAATGTTTGTATTTCTGTATACCATCTGTATACTTAAAATACCATCTGTATACTTGGTGAATCTGCTCTTTTCTCTCTTTTCTCTTTTTTCTATATGCTTTTTAGTAGATCTAACATTTGTAGAATTCTGTTTTATCTTTTCTATTGATTATTTAGTTACGTCTACCTATGTCACTTTCATAGTTGCACTAGACATTAAAATATGTAACATAAAATTATTATTATTATTATTTTTTGAGATGGGGTCTCGCTCTGTTGCCCAAGCTGGAGTACAGTGGTGCAATCTCAGCTCACTGAAAGCTCCACCTCTCGGGTTCATGCCATTCTCCTGTCTCAGCCTCCTGAGTAGCTGGGACTACAGGCACCTGCCACCACGCCTGGCTAATTTTTGTATTTTTAGTAGAGACGGGGTTTCATCTTGTTAGCCAGGACAGTCTCGATCTCCTGACCTCGTGATCCGCCCGCCTCAGCCTCCCAAAGTGCTGGGATTACAGGCGTGAGCCAACGTGCCTGGCCGCATCATAAATTTATTACAGTTTATGTTAAAATTCTATAATATGATCCATTTAAAATAATATTAATGTATATTTTCAACTAATACTCTTCAATATGTCATGTTTTGGTGTCATATACTTCATTTCAGTATACATGGTAAACTATTTCTTATTATTTTACTTGATGCATTCAAAAATCATATGTTAAGAATACTTTTAAAGGAACTTTTGTATTTCCTAACATATTTACTCTGTCTTGTTTTATTTATACATTTTTGTATGAGTTCTTCATCTTACCTACTTTTTAGGAAACATATTTTTTGGATATGTATTTCTAGTTTCTTTTTTAATTGAAGCACTTTAAAAACATCATTTAGTTGCATGCTTTTTCTAAAATGTCTGCTATCTTCTTATTATTGCTTTCTTGTATGTAAAGTTTCTTTTTTATCCCCTTGGTTGGATTAAAGATTTTCTCTTTATTTTTTATAAGTTTGACTATGGTGTACCTTGGCATGTTTTTCATTATATCTGTCCTTTTAGGGATACTCTGAGCTTCTGGAATCTGTAGTTTTGTATCTTTTATTAATTTTGGTAAATCCTCAAATAGTATCTTTTCCATTTTTTTCTACCTCATGCTCTCTTATCCTTCTTGCACTCCAATAGTGTATATGCTAAATGATTTTATACTGTGCTAAATATCACAAGTGCTCCATTACAGTTATTTGGCACTGTTTTTTTGTGTGTGTTTTTATTTAGTTAGGTTATAAGCATGGATTCAAGTTCATTGATTATTTCCTCTCCTATATCTAGTCAGCAGATAAGACTATCAGAAAAATTCTTTATCTTTGATACCATGTTTTTAGTTTCTAGCATTTTTATTTATTCTTTTTTATAGTACTTTAAAAATTTTTCATTTTTGTTGTATATCATTACTTTTTCCACTAAATCCTTTAATATATTATTATTTGTTAAAGTTTCTGATAATTCTAACATGTAGGCTATTTGTTTTTATTTATTCATTTATTTATATTTTAAGTTCTGGGGTACATGTGCAGAATGTGTAGTTTTGTTACATAGATATACACATGCCATGGTGGTTTGCTGCACCCATCAACCCATCACCTACATTAGGTATTTCCCCTAATGCTATCCCTCCCCTAGCCCCCCACCCCATTTCTGAATCTAGTTGTATTGACTATTATACCTCTTGATGATGAGCAATATGTTCTTGACTTATATGTGCCAAATAATTTTTAAATTAAATACTGAACATTGTTTGTAGATGAACAGTACAGATTAATGCATATAATATTTATACCCAGAAACAGACATGCTTCTTTTTCTGTGAGCCCTCAAGTACGAGTGTTGGGCTAACTCAATCTCTAGTTGAGCTGCATTTGGTCTTTGTTGCTTTATTTAAGATCAGTGTCCACAGCCTTCAAGTACCTGATTTGCATATAGACACTACCTTATCATTAGTTCTCTACACTAATACTTCAGCTGGCCCTGTGTGCGTGCATCACAGAAGTACTTTCTATCAGTATTCTTCTATCTCAGAAGTACATTGCTACTGTGTAGTACTTGCTAAAAGTCCTAGAGTATGTGTTTGTGTGAAGTTTTGTTTCAATGTGTATGTTTTCACGCGTAAACAGGCTCTGTGCACCTGTGACTTGGACACAGGAGTAGAGCTATATCTTTCTCAGTGCTCTTGTCTACCAGCGGCAGACAGCTGCCTCTTGGTACTCTGTGCAGTTCCATGTATGGGAGGGGTTTTCAGTTGCCCATAAAGTTTTTGGATGAGGGTTTTTGAGTTTTTGGTTTTACAATGCCAATATTCATCACAAAACATTTATTATTGATAGTGAATGGCGTGAATATAACAGTATTTATGGTAAAGGAGAAGTTGTGTAAGCCAAAATTCCCTTAATTTTTTAAAATTAATTAATTAATTATTTATTTTTGAGATGGAGTGTTGGGAGCAAGCCCCCCCAAATCTGGCCATAAACTGGCCCCAAGACTGGCCATAAATAAAATCTCTGCAGCACTATAGCCTGTCCATAATGGCCCTAATGCCCAAGCTGGAAGGTTGTGGGTTTACAGGAACGAGGGCAAGGAACACCTGGCCTGCCCAGGGCGGAAAACCACTTAAAGGCATTCTTAAGCCACAGACAATTAGCATGAGCGATCTGTGTCTTAAGGGCGTGTTCCTGCTTCAATTAAGTCGGCCCATCCCTTCGTTTCCCTTAAGGAATACTTATAGTTAATTTAATATCTATAGAAACAATGCTAATGACTGGTTTGCTGTTAATAAATATGTGGGTAAATCTCTGTTCGGGGCTGTCAGCTCTGAAGGCTGTGAGACCCCTGATTTCCCACTTCACACCTCTATATTTCTGTGCGTGTGTCTTTAATTCCTCTAGCGCCGCTGGGTTAGAGTCTCTCCGAATGAGCTGGTCTCAGCAATGGAGTCTTGCTCTGTCACCCAGGCTGGAATGCAGTGGCACCATCTCAGGTCACTGCAACCTCTGCCTCCGAGTTCAAGCAATTCTCCTGCCTCAGTCTCCCAGGTAGCTGGGATTACAGGTGCTCGCCACCACACGCGGTTAATTTTTGTATTTTCAGTAGACACAGGGTTTCGCCATGTTGGCCAGTCTGGTCTCAAACTCCTGACCTCAGGTGATCTGCCCACCTTGACCTCTCAAAGTGCTGGGATTATAGGTGTAAGCCATTGTGCCTGGCTAAAATTGCCTTTATATTGACAAAAATGCCTTGTTTGACTTTTAATCATAAATACTATTCCAGTAAAAAGGTACATCTTTTCTCCTTTTTGTCTTTTTGTTTGCATGATCACTATTAGAAGTTAAAATGAGATAGCTCTTAAGTAATCAAAGGAAAAAAGCAAAAGAGAGAAAATCAACATGCCACAGTCTAGACAATTCCACATAGCACTGTTGCCCCAAGATTGTTTGCCTCCTCCTCTTTCCATTCCTATTAGCCCCTGCCACCCAAACTCCAAATTTGCTAGAATGTAGGTTCACCGAATGATGGAGCTGAATTACAAGAGAAATAATTTATAATCAGTAGAAGTTAAGTTAAAAATACAAAAATGTGGAGAGAGCTGTCCTTCTCTTTTAATCACCATAAATGAGGTTTATTAATATTGAAGAGTGTTCTTTGATGACTGATCCCTGATCTAGGCCTTGGCTTTTTAAACTGTTGCTGATTAAGATGTAATATAATTCTGTTGAATCTGCTACATAATACTTTTTGATGCTCTTCTCTTCAAATAGGTTATTTTCTTACTAGGAAAAAAAATATGTTGCATCCCTTGAATTAATGTTGAAGAAATTTTGCATGCTCTAAAAGTTCATTTTATCTTCCCTTCACAAGCATGCTCTGTCTATACTGGTTGGCCAGAGCAGAGCAGCTGAGAGTTTTGGGTTGTTCTGGTGATAATACTGGAGAATTGTGGCATATGGATCAGTAAAGACTGGATGAGACTTATGCACTTGAACTTTCCTGCCACCTCTTCAGCAGCTTTCTAATTATGTTGAGTGGTGACCTTGCAGAACTCTGAGTTCCTTTCCTCTACTCTAGCCAGCTGCTCTTTGCAAAATGCATCCGTTTCTTTATCACTCCATCTGTCTTTTCCAGCTTCTTAGCCAGGTGCTTTGTCTTAGAATATTCCTCCTTACTTGATATTCTCTCTCATAGAAAAGCTCTAGTTAACTGCTCATTGGCAGTAGCCCTCACTTAGTCCAGTTCTTTGCTTCGCATTTAGTCATATTGGGTGCAGGCTCACCCTGCACCTACACCCCAGAGGAAATCACTCTCAATTTTTCTGCTCTTTTCCCAGAAGCATACACTTCTTCCTAGTCATTGCAGACTTTACACCATGTGCATGTTTTCCACCCCTTCACTTAGTAACAGATGACTTCTGCCTCATGGTTCAACCTATAATCAAGAGTATAGGCAGGAGAAAACCTTTGTCTTCTTCTCTGTACAAGTTCTGGAATACAAATAGAATTCTTGTCCCTCCCACTGTGGCTAATGACCTCCTACCTCACTCTCAGGCAGAATCTAAATCATAAGAAGACTTCTTTTGGCTCTCTTGTTTCAGCCTTAGTCTTAGTCTCTGTATACCTATGCCCTGGGGTTGGGCTTTCTCAATAGTCCTGACCTCCCTCCATTGTAGATAACATTTCTCTGTACTTGCTGCTAGGCTGAAAGTAAAGGGAGTGTTTGCTGGCCCCTCTTTAAGTGACAAAAGATCTTTGCCTTTAAACTCATGCAGAATCCAGAATGTGGGAGGGTTTTCCTTGTTTTTCCTGTTTCACACTCAAACTTAGGCAGACTTCTCCTGTTTGCAGTACAAAGGGTCTTTTTCATGCCTCCGTGCTGCTCAGAATCTTCATGAGCTCTCTTTTAAGTAAAGACCACATAAAAGAGTGGGTTGTGTGGATGAGTGCAGACTTGCCTGTGGAAGGATTTCTTCTCAACTAGTCCATCATTAGCCTTTCATTTCATTAGTTTACATTACAACCTCAGCTTTCTGATGGTCTTTACAAAATTTAGGTTTTGTAGAACATCTAGCATGTTCTTGCTGTGATGAGAGGTGATCTTTTGTTGTGATTTTCCATAACCTAAGTGGAAGACTCAGCTTACATATCTTAATTTCCCTTCCTTTTTCTGCGTTTGTGGCTTTTCCCTTTATTTTTGCAATCTCCCCAAAAAAGTGTGTACTTGCCTGTGGCCCAAGGGTTGGGGACCCCGGGTATATTTGATATTATGATATTATCATATTATGATAAAGGGAGCCCTTTTACATTGGTCCACAAAATTTATAGGTTGCCATTTCCTGATTAGATTTTGTCAGCATTGTGACTTAAATGCCAGGATGATGAGGGTCAGAGATAGCAGTACATTTAGGGAAACTGAAAAGAGGAAAATTCTTTTAGAATTTTATTAGGGTTCAAGTATGCTTCCTCATAATGTTAGGAAGAACACAGCTTCATTTTTATATTTCCCTTCAACATATTAATCTTGCTAACCCCTATCCAGAACCACCTTTGTAACACAGAGATCCACTGATTAAGAACATCTTAATGGGCATGAAGACCAACAGAATTAATATTAAGTCACATGCTTAGTTTTGTTTGGAAAATATTTTAATATTTTTTGGTGATACCCACATGCATACACAGACACACACACACAATTGTACAGAGGTATTTCTTATTTTCTGGTTCTACATAATTCCTACAATGCAGACAATAAATATGAGTTAGCCAGTTCTCCTAGGAATTTTAGTGTTTTCACAAGACAAAGAAATTATCATTATATAGCACATATTTTTACCAGTGATGATCAGGCCCCAGTTAGTTCCCCAAACTGATAAAATTCTGCCAGCGCAGGATCAATTGGTAAGTCTTCTGACTTTAAATAACTTGACATGATCAGCTTGTGTGTGTGTGTGTGTTTGTGTGTGTGTGTATTTAGAGCCATGTGTCTATTCAGATACTTTTTTAGCAGTGACTCATTTAAAAGGATGATGAGACTGTTTTCACCATCAAGATGACAAAACTCCATCAGAGCTAAATTTTCTGCTAAAATCAATAAAATCAATGTATATAATATAAAAATCAACAATATATAATAAGCACAAAACTAAAACAATGCTATATTTAATTATTATCTTCTCTTCTTGGATGTATCAATATTTTAAAAAGAAAAGCTTACTAACTTCAGATTCCTAAACTACTTAGCATCTGTAATCAAATGCAGAGGTATAATTTATAGATAATCATTTATAAACTTTTTCAAAAACTACTAGAACAATAATCACTTGCTTACCTTGATATGGTTTGGATCTATGTCAACCCAAATCTTATGTTGAATTATAATCCCCAGTGGTGGAGCTGCGGCCTCGTGTGAAGTGACTGCATCATGGGGGCAGTTCCTCATGAATGGCTTAGAACCATCAACTTGGTGCTGTCCTCATCATAGTGAGTGAGTTCTCATGAGACATGATTGTATAAAAGTGTGTAGCACCTCCGCCCCGCCTTGCTCTCGCTCTCACCATGTGACATGCCTGCTCCCCATTCGTCTTCCACAATGATTGTAAGTTTCCTGAGGCTGCCCCAGAAGCCAAGCAGATGCCAGCATCATACTTCCTGTGCAGTCTGCAGAACTGTAAGCCAATTAAACCTCTTTTCTTTATAAATTATCCAGCCTCAGGTATTTCTTTATAGCAATGCAAGATGGACTAATACACACCTGTTCACCAGTAGGAACTTGGTGAACAGGTTAGAGCAGTTAAGAGCTTGAAGTTTTCTGGAAGTGGAAGTGAGGAAGACAGAGAGTAGCAACTAACAACAGGGAGAATAAAACAATTTCCAGAGTTATTTGGACAGGAGACAAGACAGTGTAAGTATTAAGAAAACCATCCCAAATCAGGCAGATCCGAGTTTATATTTTGTTTCTGTCACTTACTAACCTTGAGCCTCTTGCAAAGTTACTCAGTTTTCTCTAGATTTAGTTACACATTTGTAACTTAGCAAACTATCAGTGTCTACCTTGTGGAATTCTTGGGATTATTATTTAAGTTTGGAAAAGTAAATCGTTTGCATAGCACCTGATATGTAGCAAATGCTCAGTATGTATGAATTATAATCATGTTAAAATATAAGGAATGGTCAGATTTTGTGGAACTTTGTGAAGCAGGATGTGCAAAGAATGCTTGACTCAACCAGCAGTGGGATTCCATTGAGAGTATTTAATTCATGTTCTTATTGAAAGCAGACTGAGTGGCTTTCATCTGGACAGTATGACTGGTAGGTGTAGTTTTTTTGCAAAGGAGAAGTCGAAAAAAAGGAAGTATGTTGGGCATACTTCTACCTTGCCACACTTTAGATTTGAGCCTAAGAATTTAAGGTTGTCAGTTGTCTATGGTCAATTTTATGTAAGAAATGGTCTTTCTTGTCTTAAATAATTTATGTGTTTAATCCAAACATCTATAATTTCCATAAATCCAAGATTTCATGTCACTTTAGAGTAAAATTATAAAATTTGAATTAAAATGTGATTTGTTATCAGGGTTTTCTTTGATAAATTTTTTTTGAATTGTGCTGTTGGGTATTAATACTACACAAAATTTATATTAATCACAGAAGGGGGAAAAACTGGATTTCTTATATTTCCTAGAGGGAAATAGGGAAATAGAGGTATGTAAAGTAAAAGACATGTCCAAGCATCTAATTCATGTCTTTAGATTTTTTTAAAGGGACTTAAAGAGAAACGACAAAGCAGATAGGCTTCATAGTTCTGGAGAGTAGTTACCTTCCATAACCTCTACCCAGATCAAAAACAATGCAATAAAGGACAGTTGCAGAGGTCAAGGAAAAGAAAGGGAAGGTGGTCTTCACATATCCTCTCCACTTTTCACAATGCATTTGATTTTCTCTCAGCAAGAGGTAAACTAAAATTTATAGAAACATATTTGTAAAAATATATTTATGAAGTATCTGGAATTTAATTTTCTTCTTGAGTTCATTTTAAAAACACAAACTAAAAAATCTTTATTCCCCTACCTGCCAGCAAGAATGCTTTGCATGTGTACTGCAAGCAGAATTCAGCTGTGAATAAATAAGTGAAGAATCAAATTGATCAGGCCAGTAAGTCTCTATGTGTTAGGAATAGTAATATTTTCAATATCATTGCTTACCAGTCCAAACATGCATGTAAACATCTGTCTATTCCAGTAACCACTTTCTTTCAACTTCACTGAAGCAGAACACACATGTGAAGTGAATTCACTGAAGTATGTCTAATTTTTTCTTTTAAATAGAATAACTCCTTCCATCTCTGCACATTTCATCTACAGATCCCAGGATAATTTCCATGTGTTAATGTTTTTCTTTAGTTCAGAGTAAAACGCCAAGGCAAAAGGTCAAAATTATTAACCTAATTTTAAAGATGAAGAAACAAACACATAGAAGGTTAAGTGACTTGATCCACACCAAATGAGAGACCAGAAAAAGGACTGTGACTTGAAAACAGACTATCTAATCTTCCTAAGAGTAAGGAAAAATAAGCAGAGTTTATGCAGAATCCTGGACATTTATAACAGTGTCATTTTGTGGATTCAAAAGTCCAGCCTGTTCTGAAATCAAGCAGTAGCTCACTGTTAGAAAGTGTTTTTATCAAATGATTTGGAAGACATTTACAGATCACTAACAATAATCTAGAACAGGATAAGTTGTAATTTGAATAACACTACAATCAAAATAAAATAATTAAATTCTATTAAAAAGTCTACTATTTCCCAGATGAATTCTCATGATTAAAATGGGACTTTCTTTATTTTCTGCCTCTTTGCATGTCATTATCTTTTTTTTTTTTTCTTTTCTTGATAAGGTGTTGCTATGTTACCCAGGCTGGCCTCAGGCAATCTTCCTTCTTCAGCCTTCCTAGTAGCTGGGACTACAGGCATGCATCACAGCACCCAGCTGCATGCCATTATTTTTTATGTGTTCTGGTTGCAATACAAACACATAGTGAAATGGGCTAAAGTATTTTTAAAAGATCTCCCATGTTAGAAGCTACAGTTTGGGCTACTAACCAGGATGAGTTTCCTGACATTGCTGGAATAAATGCATCCAAGCATACTTTCTCTGATGTGACTCTTGCTCTAAGGACCAATTGTGCCACAAGCAAGCTAAAAGAATGAGTGAGAAGAAATTACTCTGGTGTGCACATCTTAATCCTCTTCCTTGGAAGTGTTGAGTTAAATTGGTTATGATAATTCCTGGAGGATTCGTTCGACATGTGCTAGAATGTGAATTGCTGGATGCTATGTTTAATTGCTGATGGTCAGCCATTTGTGCTTGGACAATCAGGACATAAAGATTGCTTGTCAGAGTTTAACTGGCTGAGCCCAATGTTCTGGAGCGATACAGCCAGGCCTACAGACACCGCTGTTGGTTTAATGTTAGTTTGAGGATATTTCTAGATTTTAGGAGAAGCTGAAAATGTGGTGCGTGAAAGAAAAAATTCTTTATAACTCAGAGTGGACTAGAGTCACCTCCCTGGCTGAGGGAGTGGCATATGGTAAGGTGTTGAAGGTATGTGCCCCAGGCAAGCCACACCATTCCTTTTCAAGGCTCAGGATCATCTGAGAAATTCTTAAATGGCAAATGGGTAGCTCTAGTTTCCCACTACCTCTGAGGCATTACCGAGATCCTTTCATCTTTTAGCTATTGTGGCCAAGATCCAAGTCAGCTGTGGTACAAAGCATGAACTTTTATCTGGTTTTAATTACAAGGTTTATTTAATTTCTACCCATGGCATATCCAAAGTTAAACTTTGTAGTGTCATTGTAACCCATATTATATCAGACATGAATATAACCAATACTATATCAACATAAATATCTCTATTGATTATTGTTCTGAAATGCATTCCTAAGAAGTGCCTTGGTGATGAGTAAGTGGATAATTGCTTTTCCAACTGAGTTAGTAGTAGTAGTCACAGGGCTTTTAATTGCCATGTTCATAGCATGATAAGAACATACATGTGATAGTGCAATAATATTAATTCCCATGAAGTATCTACAGAGAGTGTGTTCAGGTTTGGAAATATCCAGCACTTCTGTAATGAACAAATAAAAATTCAGTAATGGAAGATTATGTCTTGACTAAATATTTGATTAGACTAATATTTACTAATAAGGCTTCAGAAGAAATAATTTGGCATTCCATCACAGTCTATACCATGGAGAATAAATTCAATGTGAGAAAAAAAAAGGAAAGATTCCAGAACAGAAAAATTCAGACACTTTCTCATGCAGCAGCATTTCAAAATTATCACCATTTCTTTGAGACGAAGTGGAGAGTGTTTGAATGTTACGTATATTCTCTATAGTCTAGTATATAATCTACCTTTTAAATTCCTTACAGTTAATATTTGAAAAGTATTCGTTATTTTAAAACAAAGTACTCAAATAAATTTCTCAAATCTCTGACTGTCAGAAATACTTCCAAGCATTATAATGTAGAGTTAAGAGAATCAGTAAGGATTTTTTTGTGTGTGAGGTTCATTTCTACCTCTATTGCTTCAAGTCACGTGTGGACAAGACCAAGGTCTTAAGGGAATCTTTATTTATTTATTTGTAAAGATCAGGAGAATTAGTCATGCTTCTTGTGGGAAAGAAATGCATTTGCACTAGGCCCCAAAAATTAAAAAAAAAAAAATCTTAAGAGAATCCTTTAGCAAACCTCTGCTCTCCCAGAAGATTGTGTGGTTCCTGACATGAAGCCGTCTTTATTTGGCAGGCTGTTACCTGCTCTGCAGCAATCTTTCCCTGCTGTGCAGCTCCTTCATGGTCACAACCTCCCTGCTCAGTTCATAAAAAGGACTTGACCTACTGCACTCTGACCTAGCTATCTAGCTGTTTTCTTAAGAGCAATGTCTTGTATTTCAATATCTTGTACAACCTAACATTTTATTGATTTTTAAGAGCTTTTTCAATTTCTGTTTCATCCTCCCACTCTTTTATACTCTAGTTTAGGGTCAGCGATGCCTGCTGCTGAGAATATTGCAGACAGAAGTATTTAGTTTGAACATACCTGCAAAGTAAGAGCACCTTAGCACAGTGAAAGGGTTTTTGCAATTTCCTTAATTTCCTACCTAAATCTTCTGAAATAGAACTCTCTTTGAAAAAATAACTATTAAAATAGAAGCAGGAAGAGAAACATGAAATTAATGAAATTAGACTCTGGTGTAAAATTGAATTTTAGATCATGTTCATCTTATATAAAATAGAGACACTATTTTAAATCTAAAGATAGTATTGAGTTGAGCTATACATATCAGAATCTTGGCTTCAGTGGCTTAATCAAATAAGGTTTCTTTTACTCCTAACCAAGAATCTATATTCAATCACACCATGATACTTACACCTCCTCAAGGGAGTCCACAGCTCAGTCTTCTCCCAGTTTTCAGTTTCCTCCAACTTAAACATGTGGCTTTATCCTCAAGGTCACAATATGCCTGAGAAATGTCAAGCATCAGAACTGCATTCCATGAAGGCAGGAAGAAGGGCTCAGAGCAAAAGCTGACTCTTTTTTTTTTTTTTTGCCTTAAAAACAACAGCTTTGGAAGTCAACCTGAGTAGACTTCCACTCTCACACGACTTGTTAGAAGAACTTCACTTGCTATTGATATTTAAGTAAGAAATGTGAGACATCCAGGTTTTTAGCCAGCTATATGGCCATCCCTCAAAATAAATATGTGTTTTGTCCGTGAGGAGAGAGAGTGGAATGGACATTGATTAAGTGACCAGCATTGTCTGCCCTACTAAAATTATTAAATGATGCCAGAAGGAAGGGTTACAGTTGTTAGTGTTCAACCAAGCATACTGCTTCTTTTTTTTTTTTTTTTTTTTTTTTTTTTTTTTTTTTTTGAGACAGGGTCTCACTCTGTAGCCCAGGCTGGAGTGCAGTGGCACAATCTCGGCTCATTGTAACCTCCGCCTGCATGGTTCAAGCGATTCTTCTGCCTCAGCCTCCCAAGTAGCTGGGACTACAGGTGTGTGCCACCACACCCGACTAATTTTTGTATTTTTAGTAGAGATGGGGTTTTACCATATTGGCCAGGCTAGTCTCCAACTCCTGACATTGTGATCTGCCTGCTTTGGCTTCCCAAAGTGCTGGGATTACAGGCATGAGCCACCATGCCTGGCCTCTGCATATTGCTTCTTTAAAATCTAAAACTCCTCTCCACATAGTTTAAGTCACTGAACTGCCAAATAAAATACAGATAAGTTTCTAGATCATTTTACTCTACATCCTTAGTTAAAAATTACTAATTCTCACTACACAGCCATAAAAATGAATGAAATCACGCCCTTTGCAGCAACATGGATGCAGCTGGAGGCCCTCATCCTAAGTGAATTAACGCAGAAACAGAAAGCCAAATACCACATGTTCTGTTTTCACTTATAAGCAGGAGCTAAACATTGGGTACACATGGACACAGAGATGGGAACAATAGACACTGGGATTTCAAAGTGGGGAAGGAAGGGAAGGGGGCAAGGGTTAAATAACTACCTATCAGGTACTATGTTCACTACTTGGATGATGGGATCATTAGAAACCTAAACCTCAGTATCAGGCAATATACTTATGTAGCAAACCTGCACATGTACCCCCTGATTCTAAAATAAAAGTTAAATAAATAAATAAAATTACTAATTCTCTCAAAAGAAGTTTTAGGATTAGTTTCTTCTTAGGCATGTTGTGTTACAGGTAGGAGTCAGCAAACTAAGACCCATGGGCCAAATCTGGCCTTCAGCCTCCTTTTGTAAATAAATATAAAAACAGCCACTTCTACTTTTTTACATAAGGCTACTTTCAGACTGTATTGGCAGAGTTGAATCCTTGCCACAGGAACTGTATGAGCTGCAAAACTGAAAATATTTACTATCTGAGCCTTTCCAAGATGTTTGCCAACAATGGGTAGAGAAACACCCTGTTCTTGTTAGTTCAGGATGAGGGAGGTGGTTAGTTCCACATTTGTATACCTTATGGGAGAATTTCCCTGAGTGATATCCATGTGAATGGAAAACTAGAAGAGCAGATGGTGGTAAAAGAAAGAGGTAATTATATTTGCAGAAAAATATCAGTATTATTTAACTGTTAGTAATATATTTGAGTCTCTAGAATGCAAAAATACCAGTGCATATAGGGAATAACTGGGAATTCCTATTAGGATGTTGACTTAGCCTTTATATTCCCAACTTCCTTCAGGAGTCTAACTGAATCAAATTTGACTTTGTTATCAAAACAAGCCCTGAATATTCTCACTGAATAGGATCTCACAGAACTATTAAATGCACAACTAATTTTCAGAACTCAAAATAATGAACCATCTCTTATTTCATGCATTTCACTAGTATTGCTCACAGAAAACAGCATGAGGCAGTTGAGAGATTCATCGTCTTTTCTAATGCCTTACCTATTTTTGCATGAAGGTACTGCAGAACAAACAAATAAGGAAAATATAGTTCTGTCAAGAGCGTTCAAATATTCCAAGAGTAAGGAGCATTGTATTTGAAAAATACTCAGAAGACTCACTTTTTTTCTTGCAAGTGAAACTGATCAGAAGTCTTTTAAAAATACTTTTATTCTGTGTTTGTTTTTCAAAAGTACAACTCTATTTATTAAGCACATTTGGGAAACTATTGTCATATGCCTCCCTACTAATTGCAAGAACCTGGGAATCTAAGGTTTTAGCTGAGTATATACTTGAGGAAAAAAGGTTATTAGGCAAGGCTGTGCAAGCATCTTTTCCTTTAAATCAACTCTTGAGTTATCTGTGTTCCTAAATAAACTGGGTTGTATTTTCAGAGTGGAATTTCTTTTTAAATTTCTCATTTTCTGAACTATAAAAACAAATGTTTCTATAAGTTTATATTAGTTATTTTCTCAATAATTAGTGCCTCATGTAAAGGCAAATAACGTGACTGGAAATGTATTGTTTTTAAAATTAAAATTATTTGAATAAAACTTTACATATATAGCTCTTACTGCTCAAAAATAAGATTTTATATACTGTTTCTTTTAGTTAATGCAAAATCTCTTGAAAAGATACTCTAAATGAATGAATTGCCACTAGAATCAAATTTATAATTTAAGTGGCAATATATTTCATAAATACGTGGGAAGAGCTGCATTGTTCCAATATTGGCCATTCTCAGATTTTCCAGTAAAGTATGAAATTCAAGGAGAATATAAACATGTGTGCATTTATGCAAATTTAGAATGTTTATATAAAACTTGGATAGTGTTTAACTGACTTAATAATTTCATGAATGCAATTAACCACTTTAAAATATTATTTTAAAAGGACATTTTGGATTATGTCTATACTTTTTCTAATATTCTATGCATGGTTCATTGTGTGCTTTATATCTTCAAATATTTATTATGTAAAACTTTTAGTTTGAAATGCAGAGGCACTAAGAAAGTTTCCTTAGATTTATTCTGACTTTTAAAAATAAAATAATGTTACTTATAAAGAAATTTAATGGAAACATTAGAGGCTTCATGTTTTTCTCTCATTAAACTAAGTCATAATGTTTTTATACAACCTAGTATCATTGAGTGTATGAAGAAACAAGCACATTCATTTACTCTTGGGAGTGTAAACAGATGCATGCAGTCCTTTTAGAGGGTAATTTGGCAATAGCAATTACATTTCTATATGTATCATCATCCTCATTCTGCAGTTCCACATCTAAAAATGCATCTCTCACCTATCATTACACATCTGAACAATGGCTGTTCCTTGTAATAGTGATGGAACTAAGTTTGGGGGCAAAATGTCTGTATAATTCCTAAATCTGTGTTCTAAACCGCTACTGAAGTTGCCTGTGATTGCTTCTTTTGGGGAATGATATACAAGTTATAACCATTTCTATAAACTGTATTTTCTTCATTCATTTTTATGTATCTTCCCTACACCCAGTCCTAAAATTAGCTTAAGTTAACAAAGAAAGTCAACTACATAACTTTTGCTGTTTTTGTTGCCTTCGGAAATATTTGAGTATAGAGCAGAATTCATCAAACTCAGTGCTAAAGTATCAGTGGCCCCCAAAATTTTACTTCTCAAGGCCAGACTCACATAATTTCACAGCTTTCAATACTTCTAGAAAAAATAAAATAAAAGACACGATCAGTTGAGATGACAATGTTTTAAGCAACTAAAATTGAAAATTCAATATTATGTGTCAAAGCAAAAATAATGATTGCAGGTGTTGAGTTTTAATAAGAGCAGAGTGAGACACAGGCACGGTCATGCATGGAATCCTTGACTTTGTGAAAATATCATGGGCCTCTTTCTGTTTCCTTCCTTATGAAGTATTTGACCTGCTTTCACATTCAAATCTCAGAAAACTATTATGAATACACAACGATAATGGGATAAGATATTTCGTTAATATGATTATGCAATTAACTGTAATTTGTAATTCAGGTAAAAATCATCTTCTTTGATCTCTGAATTGTTTGCTGATTGGATACAAATTGTGCTTGGAGATGAAATCTGTTTGGGTAAGTCAGCTGTTTGGTGATACTTAATGGTGCTCTTTATATATCCCTTATTTTGTTTAGTCTATTTTAAAACAAAATTCCTAAACTGTATTAACTACACTAATTCAAAATTGGGACAATTATTACATCTATTAAAAATGATAATTTCAGAAAGCCATACATTTTAATTTTCCTAAACAAAGCAATCTAACCTTTAGTATCTTTACAAAGTATCAGAATAAAAATGGCTACCATAAAAAGTACACATCTTTATTCAATGTACATAGATGTAAATCTATGGATGAATAAATGTCATTGGATCTTCAAATAAATATGTGTATCAAAAAATATCCTCTTTCAAAAATTAATACCAGAAGTATAGGGAAAAAAAAGAATTTACAAAATAATCTGCTGAAGATTGATATTTTATCATTATATGTTTTTATTTCCCTTGTGGATGTATAACATTTATGTTTATCACATTTATTATAATGATAAAAAATTGGAAACTATCCAGAATATTTCAACTATAGGAAATTTGTTATTCAAATTATAATGCAGTCATTTAATAAAAGACATGCTACAAACAACAACAACAACAACAAACTATGTTGAGGAAGAACACCTAATTACCTTGGAAATGGACACTATGACAGAGACACTACCTACTCAAAATTACACCAGCCTCTTTTCTACTTTGTTAACACATTTTTTCTTTCAAACTATATGATGTAGTAATTTCTTGATCTCAGAAGTGCATGTGACCCTCATCTTGTCATGGTTATAATAAAATCCTACAATTTTGCCAAAAGAAAATCATAACAGACTCTGCTTTCATGTTCAAAATCAAATTGACTGGTGGCCACTGTTTCTCCTTAACGTGTATCAAAATATTTAATAATAATAATGATATAAGAGCAAACATATAAAGCTAGGATGACTTCAAAGTACTATGTACAAGGCACATTAAAAGTGCAAGTTCTCTATTAGTATTAATCCCTTTAATCTCCACAAGAAAACTATGACATAAATGCTGTTAGAATCATTCTCATTACACAGTGGAGGCACAGACACTTAAAGGCATAACCAGGCAGCCAGCCCACTTTAGAGAGTGGCTCTAACCAGCCATGCTATTCTGTCTCTAATGCAAGTCCGTCTTGCATACCAAAGGAGAGAAAATCTTTCTAGGTGAAAATATTTTATTCTTTTTTCAATTTTGAATTTTGTACTTCTTCTCAGAACCTCTTTTTTCTCTTTTATAAGCAGGAAAATGAGACCCAGGTAAGATTAAGACCGTCTTTTGCCAAATGCTACTCTATAAATCAGTAGCCAGTGGGGACTTGGACTTA
Source organism: Homo sapiens (assembly GCF_000001405.40). Classification (NCBI taxonomy): domain Eukaryota; kingdom Metazoa; phylum Chordata; class Mammalia; order Primates; family Hominidae; genus Homo; species Homo sapiens. The sequence continues at coordinate 89,304,782 of NC_000007.14, read as the reverse complement.
GATGGGAGGTCTGTGCTTTAGAAAGAAATCTATTAGCTGCTAAGTCTCTGGGACTGACACTATACTGCCATGACATAGCTGACTGTTTGAATTTAGCAGGTTCTCCTAAAATACAATCATTGTAATCTATTAAGAGATAAGTTTGAAGACAAACACTTTAACAACATTGAACTTCAGTTCCTCTTTAGCTTTTTTAGCTAACAAAAATTTTCTTATGTCTACACAGATAGACACACACATACACACACACACATACACACACATACCCACACATCCTCTGCACTTCTATTTTACCATAGATATAATCCTTGTAATGTAAAAGACAAAACTGCACCAGATAAGTTAAACAAGCAAGGAAGGCTTCATTCAAGACTATTACAATAAAGGAGAGAGACTATTGAAATAGGGGAGAGAAATTGAACTCAACCCCATTGAACTAAGGCAGGTAATTTTTAAAGGCAGGAGTGAACTAATGGAAAAATACTGGAGGATGTTTTGGGAGAAGTCCATCAGTGAGATTAGGTCATCTGTGCTTGTCAATTGTTGCTTATTAAAGTTAGGTTCCTATGGTCCCACAGAGACTGGGAGACAATGATCCTATGTCCTTCCATGATTATATTTCAAAGGGATGACTCCCAGGACTTTGGGAAAGACATTTGTGGATTATAGAATGTTTACATTTCAAAGAGGCAGATAAATAATTTATAATTAAAAGTTTTCATTAAAAAGTGCTCTAAAAAGGGAGGTCAAGTCAAGGTCCTATAGTCCGGAATAAACCTGTCTAAAGTTCACTTAAGCTGAGGGCAAATTAAGTCTGTCTTGGTTAGTAGAGCCTTGGAAAATATATGTGTACCAGCAGAAATAATTGAAAATGTTTCTTATCTTTATTAACAAAGATCCCTGTTAAAATATTGGAGTTTGCCCTTTCAATGTTTATGCATAATTAATTTATAAATATAATTTTTGTCACAGATGCAGTTTTATAGTCTTTTTCATCTAATTCTTATTGAAGCCAGGAAAAAAGTAAAATCAGATGAAAATCTGTCCATAATGATTACTACAATGAAATACCACCAATAGCCCACATGAATTGTAAGATTTTCACATGTCAGATATAATGCCAAAACTTTTGCTTAAATAGCTTGATTTAATTTTTCCCAAACTCTGTGAGTACTATTTGCATCTACATCCTGATGTTTAAGATAAGAAAACTGAGGCTAAGAGATGTTGGATAACTTGCTCAGAATTATACAAGTAGCAATTAATTTTACAGAATTTATTTGAGGTCCAAGCTGCTTGACTCCTGAGCCCTAGCTGGTAACCTCTGCAATCTATTTTCTCTGATTAACTTTTTGTGTACCTTTTAACACATCATTACTCTCCCTTGGAATCACGACATTGCCATCTTCACAGGACCAATAATTTTAAATTATATTTCAAAATAGTTATATTTTCTAGTCTACATAAATTGAAGTTTCAAAAAATACAACTATGAAAGCTTTGAAATATCCATTTGAGATTTAGAATGTGAAATTTAGAATGTCTTCATGCCAGCAATATACAAATATCTGCCTTCTCCTTGGTTAATAAGTGAAATGTCTGGAATACAACACAGCTTCAAAGAAGCTATTATTTACTAGAAGAAGATCTCAATCCAGAAACATCTTGGCTTTTTCCAAATGTATGAGACACACTCATATGTAAAGCCAGTTTTGATACTTACTACACTTTGGTTTAATATAGTAATTCCCAGCCCAGGATCTCAGAGAAAATCTCAAGGATTTTTATAAAACACTACCAACGTTTTCAAAGAAAATTAATTTAAATTTACTTTTAAATCAGCTTGATTTTGTGCCTGAATAGTATTGTGTTAAATTCTAGACTGTGAGCAATGGTAAAACCAATTTATTGCCATCAGGTTGTTACTGCTGCTCTGTGTTAGGCACTGACCTAGATGAAGATGGAAAAGATATTCATGCAGCTACAGTGCTTGAAGGGAATGGAGATAGGCATGTGGCCTCTTACAAAGATGGTTTATGTGTTAGTAACAAAATCTACTAAAACTGAAGATAATTTCATGGAAGACTATAGGCTATTTCACCAAAAGACCTGGCAGGAAGTGTAGCTAGATTGCAAAATGGACTGACACCAGGAACAAGGAAGCTATGAATTGAAATTATTTTATCTGTCAATAAAGGACTGCATGGTCTCCCATCTCTCCTTCTCTGTGATCAACTATATCATTCTTCTGTCTCTTTCTCTCTCTCTCTCTAGCATAACTTCCTCTATTTTATAATGCATTAGATCTGAACATGGCCATTCCAAGCTCTAGGTTAACATTGCCCAAGATGACATATTCTCAGGCTCTGATTTCTAAGTAATGGAGGAAAAGAATGTACCTGAAACAACTAACACCAAGGGTCCATCCATGTCCCCGATAGCTGTGACAGGGTTGGAGAGAGCTGAGGCTTAACTCTCATGTAGAGTTCAGAGAGCTGAGGCTTAACTCTAATACAGGTACAAGCAATGTGAAAGGAGGGTATAAATCTTTATCTAAGAATTGGATATGGGACAAAAAAAATTATCATATATTTGGTATACACACAATCTTATTGCACAGCAGAATGTGGAAAGAATGATGCAACAGATGTAGACAATTGGTTATGATAATGAACATGTAAGACATTGTTTGTGCTTATGTATATATGTCTCATAATATATATAACAGCAATGGGAATATATAACATCACATTCAAGTTGATAGTTCAAGCTGATGCCATGGGTTTTTCATATAAAGTCATAGCATTTAAAGTGAACCTTAATAAAGATATTGATACCTATCATTTGTTCGGTGCTTAATTTATGTCAAACAATGTTATAAAATGTGTTGCAGGTAAGATCTTATTTAATTTTTAGTGCAACATCATAAAGTAGATACTCTCATCTTCCCCATCTCAGAGAAAGGGAAACTGGTCCTTAGGCTAAGAACTTGCTGGGGTCACGCATCTATTAAGTGACAGAGGCAGAATTCTCACCTATGATTCTTTAACTGCAAAGCTAATTTTCTTAACTACTATGCATTACTCTCATTCCAAGCTCTAAGGGTAGTAGAATTTTGTTTTAGAGATACGATATTAATATGTCCTGTGAAAGACTGCAAGAGTAAAGACAAAATAATGATAAAATTCTGGAGGATTCAAGGAATACTAACTAGCTATTTTTAGCTGAAACATTGCATTCATGAGGAAAAGAAAAGAGAAATGAAGCCTGAAAGATAAACCTAGTCCTGAGTATAGTGGGCTATAAAAACTATATTAAGCAGAAAAGAAAATTAATTGAAATGGTTCTTGAGGAAATTGTGATGGTGGTGCATAGGGTTCACAGGGTGAGTTTGGAAGAGAAAATAATGAGTCACATCAGCAAGAAAGCTATTGCATTGTCCTGTCAAGATCAACGACTGCAGGCCACTTTATTTAGTTGATATAAATAATAAGCATGTTTCAGCCATCCATGAATAAACTTGTTTATCAAGGAGATCAGCTAAACTCTAAAAAATAAGACGAAAAGCTGTCAAAATAAGTGTGTGGTAAGTTTAAGGTATCTATCAGAATTTTTTGTTGATGCATTGTTACTGTTGCGGAAAAAAAGAGAACCACCACCAAAAAAAAAAAAAAAAAAAAAAACACGCTTGAAAAATTCCAATCTCTGAAATTCTCTACATAAATATAAGAGGATTTTTATCAACTCCCTATTCCTCAGCAAGTTCTGTTTAGCTCATCCCCTAAGTTATATATTAGTAGCTTTTATCCCTGTGCAATGCTTACACCTACCCAAGCCATCATTATTTTCTTCCTGGATGCCACCTACTGCTAGAGAGATCTAGCAGATCTCTCAGCTGCCAATTTCACCCTCCTCCACTTCTATCCACTGTTTACAATACAAACAGAGCAATCTCTTCAAAACTTTTTTCAGATTAAGCCTTTTGCCTGATTAAAGCTTATTAGTGGCTTAGAAATGATCTTAGACTAAAATCCAAGGTCTTTGGAATGGTCTGTGATATCACACATGATTTAGGCACTCAGTATATACCTCTCCAGTTTCATCTTCTGTCATTCTCTCTACTCTGCCTCTCTCTCCATTCCAATGCTCTCCAGCTATGCTGACTTTTTTCTATGACTCAAATATGCCATAATCTTCCCCAGTTCAGGACTTCTGCCCTTTCTAGACCACTCATATTTCTCCTTAGAAGGCTGTTTTCTCATCTTCAGAATCCAATATCATGCTGTCAGAGGCTTACCTTCACCACTAATTAAAAATAGCTCTAACTTTTTCCTCTACTCAGTAGTACATCACAGGAAGAGTAGTCATTAAGTGCATGAAGTATAAAAGCTGCTGTAGAGTGTTCCAGGTTAAAAAAAAAAGAGGGCATACACAAAGATTCACATGGAAGAGAAGGACATTTATAAGGCTAGAAAATGGTTATAAATGGAGTAGGGGTGCAAAATAGGGGAAGGTAAGAGATGAGACAGAAATAACTTGAATTATGAAGGGCTTTTAAGCCAACATAAAGAGGTTAGGCTTTATTTTGAACTATACAGTGGTATGAGAAGGAAGACAATGGAATGTCTCATACAGCAGAGTGACATGGCCGTAACTGTACTTTATAAAGATGAAAGGTAGTAGCGTAGATAAAGTGGGCAAGACTGGAGGCAAAGAAATAATCAAGCAGGAGATGGTGATGTGCTGATCTAAAATGAGAGGCAACATGGAGCTAGCTGGGGAATACTTAAGCAGCAGAATTAATTGTTGGGAAATTATCTAGCAATTAGGGATCTATTTGCACTTTTGACACTTCTATTACCAAGACAAATCATTTATTTCAGTAAGATGTTTTCCTTTGGCTAAGGCAATTAGTGGTTTAATTAAACAAGTAGTTCTATTTTTATAGAATAAGAAGGTCCTAATATATGTATGTTAAATACTGTAAATAAACTGATACATTTTAAGAGCTAAATGGGAGAAAGCAGTTAACCCTCAGTCTCTTAGGACAAATAAAACAAAATATTACTTCAAAACTGGGAATTTTAGAGCAGTGAGTCACGTCAGACGTGTTTAATCCACAAAGAAAACTAGATATTCCCAAAGTGAGTAAATTGCTGAAAAGCACTCTGAATAAGCCAGCTGAGTTTTGTTGTTGTTGTTGTGGATATTTTTCTTTTAACTTGTATTTGAAGGTTTAAAACTGTGATATTTCACTTCAGAAATGCCTTTAGTTGGCATATATGAATAAAACTGAAATAGTAATCAGAATCCTAGAGAGGAGAAAAAAGCAAGTATTTTCATTATAAACATCAATAGAATTTCAACTGTCAAACAAGCAAATAAAAAATAAGAACTTTTATTTTGAATTGCAATCTAGCAACATAGATTTTTTATATGCAAAATAACATGTTACAGATAACTGACATTTGGGCTGTGTGACCTGATAATAGGACATAACATAGAATTCCTAGAGTAATACATGAATAGTTGGTCAAATAGACCATCTTCCTTGAATATCAATTCTCTTAGTTAAGTTTGTGATTAAAAACTGAAAAGCAGACAGTTTGCTCATAAAATCTTGCACATGAGTTTAAAATGCTAGCAATCTATATATATGGTAGTTCTTAAGCTTTGGAAAACAAAGAGGTGAAAAGAAGGATGGAATATCTATTATGAAAGTTGAGAAGTCTGACTGGAATTCTTAATAAGAAGTAGGTGTGGTATCTGAGAAAAATGGGCCATAAAGGTCTCCAAGTTAAGTCCAAAATTCACTTTATTAGTCACTCTGAAATTATCGCAACCCTGAGACAATCCATTTTCTAATTTTTTTTTTCACATCGATCCATTTTGCCTGTTCTTTAGAACTGGCAACTTTCACACATAGCTGGTAGGGATGTAATATGGATCAACCACTTTGAAAAAGGTTTTGCCAGGTTTTAGTAAAATTGAACATATATTTACCTTATGATATAGTGATTCTGTTTCTATTTACTAAAAATATATATATGAAAATACATATGCACCAAATATAATAAAATTTGTACAAAAAGTTACAAAGAAGCTTTTTCGTAACAGTCTAAACAGCTGTCAACACAGGAATAAGTTATTTTTGCCATATATAGATAATTAATTATTGCTTTGTAATACAAGGTATGAACAACAGATACATGCAAAGACACAGATGTATTATCACATAGTCATTATGCTGAACTAAAAAAGCCAAACATAAAATAGCATATACTACGTAATCCCACTTTTGAGGAGAACAGAGATGTCCTGTATATTAATAGTAGTGCTGATTATAGAAATAGAGGGAACATCACACACCAGGGCCTGTTGTGGGGTGGGGGCTAGGGGAGGGAGAGCATTAGGAGAAATACCTAATGTAGATGATGGGTTGATGGGTGCAGCAAACCACCATGGCACGTGTATACCTATGTAATAAACCTGCACGTTCTGCACATGTAACCTAGAACTTAAAGTATATATATATATATATATATATATATATATATATATATATACACACACACACACACTATATAGATATATATACACACTATATATATATGAAATATATATATATACTATATATATGATATATATATATATATTTATATGAAATAGAGGCCTTTGTCAACTCTCTAAATATGTGTAGTTCACTGAATGGAAATTTTACCTGAAGAAAAAGAAACTGCAGACATATGGGCATAGGTTAACAGTGTTCTAGATTAGAGGAACTAAAAAAAAAAAAAAATTAAGTAAATGTAATGCCTGATCCTAGATTAGATCCTAGACCCAGGAAACAATATCTCTAAAGAATATTATTGATACAGTTTATGGAATTTGAATATGGGGATTAAAAATAGTGCTATCTAAATTTCCCAACTTTGGAATTGCTCTGTGTTTATGTAAAATAATGTCCTTACTCTTCAAAAGTGCACATGAATATTTAGGCTTAAAGGTCTCCAATATCCTCTCAAATGGTTAGAAAAAATATTACATCCATATCTTCATAGAGAGTAATACAGAATATAGAGAAAATATAAATAACTGGTGAATCTAGGGATATATGAGAGTTCTTTGTACTATTTCTGTAAATCTGAAACTACATCAAAAGGAAAGGTACCCTACCCCCAAATAAAGTGATAAATGCTCAGAAATGTCAAAGTTCTGCAGCATATTTAATTTGGGCCTCAACTCTTTCAAAAAATATATTACGATTTACCTATCATAGATATAGCAACATAGGCTTCTGTGGACTATGTACATTTGTCTCCAGTACGTTTGTCTCCAGAACTGATGTATGACTAAAATGAATGCTTCATTTTTGGAGAATAACTTTTAAGAATGATGGTTATTATTTAGCATAGTTAATAGTAAGCAATTCTTATCTATTTAGACAGCAAGACCAGTTGCCTCTGGTAATAACTTTTAGACCCTAAAGAGAAAACATTTCATCAACATAAAAACACACATATTTTTAAGTTTGCTACTCCGGGACAGCATGTGTCCAATTAATTGAACTTAGTAGGAAGCCATTAAAAAGGAGCTAAAAAAGGAGAATTAAAACATAGTTTTAGTACATGCTACTTGAAATTGTGACCTGGTCAGGCAGAACACATCTACCTATACTAATTAAGATAGTTTTATATGATTTAGTATTCATGAAAGCATTTACAGCTGAGGGGCTATGTTAAGCTTATATTTCTTGACCGCTCAATTTTGTACACATAATTATTGGTTAGTGCAAAGCAATAAAAACTATAAGTAGTCATATTTGACTCAGTTGATTTCTTAACAAAATGAGTATAAAAGAAGTCAATATTAAAATAGTTGACATGAAAACCATGCTCTTCTCATTTAAGGAAGTGGACTCTGAGACACAGGCCAGCAGCTCATTAAGGAGAAAGCTATCAGAAAGTGTTACAGAATTACCTATTAAGTTCTCTGTTTTACAGTTTAGGGAGAGGAAAGGTGGCTGGCTCTTTTTAAAAATTTAGCAGGCTACATGCTGAGACTCTACATTAAAGAACTTACGTTAATAGTTAATTGGAGTGGATAATTTGTCAAGTATTGGGGTCTACTACACACAACAATTCAAAAGTTTAGTCTGGTTTAGGACGCTGAGATCTCCTATGTATTTTGTAGGAAAATGAGCTCTGAAAGGAATCAGTAATGAGCCTTGTAGAAAAACCTACAATTTATGAGAAAACGACAGTCATCTTATTCTTTAGAGCCAGGGAAAATGTGGCTCTCAAAAGTAGAAGGAGTTCTGTCCTCCCAAAGACTCTCTAACAAGACATAACTTAAATAAGGATATCCATCATATATCCTAGTTTTTAGAACTAATAGCCAAGCAGAAAGCTTCATAACACCAAAAATTATATGAAAATAAAGAGGTCAAACATTTTATTTTAAAATTACATATCTATAAATCTAGATAAATTAAGAATCATCAATAGATAGAGATTTTTTTCCTGTATAATCGAATTTTGCAATATTAACTGATTTATTTAACAAGGAAGTTTAGTGTTTTAGAAGAGCCTATTTTATTTATGTATTTATGTATGTACATATGTATTTATTTTTGTTTCAATAGCTTTTAGGTACAAGTGGTTTTGGTTACATGGATGAATTATATAGTGATGAATTCTGACATTTTAGTGTACCTATCACCCAAGTAGTGCACATTGTATCTAATGTGTAGTTTTTTATCCGTTCCCTCTTCCACCCTACTCCTTCCGAGTCTCTAAAGTCCATTATACCACTCTGTATGCCTTTGCGTATTCAAAGCTTAGCTCCCACTTATAAGTGAGAACAGTTTGTGGTTTTCCACTCATGTGTTACTTTACTTAGAATAGTGTCCTCCAGCTCCATCCACATTGCTGCAAAATACATTGTTTTGTTCCTTTTAATGGCTCAACAGTATTCCAAAGTGTATATATACCACATTTTCTTTATCTACCCATTAGTTGATGGGTACTTAGATTGACTTCACATTAAAGGGGCCTATTTTAATCTAAATAAGTCAAATATATTTTTAGGACCTTGAGATCGATTCAAATTTGCAGACTGTGTACATAATCTGTATTTTTCAATATGCCCCAAATCAAATAAAATGAGAACAAAGTATAATTTATAAAATATAAATTATTGATAACTGTGAAAAACAAACACAAAAGAGTACCATTAGCAGATTGATTGTTTTGATCATTTCAGGAATAAGAGAAACTGATGGAAACAAAAAGAGATTTGGAGAAAAACCATTCAGCATAAAATAGGAGTATAAAGCATTTGCACGAAAAGATGGTCTTCATGGTGAGAAAAATTACCAGGGAATATGCAAAGTAAGAGTCAACAAGAAAGCTTTGAGGCAATCTGAAAGGTGAGTCACTGCAGAATTGCATTTTGAGCAACTGTACTACATAGCATCTTGTACTGAGCAGTGGGCAGCAGTGATATTTTCTCCTACAACAAATATAGGGTGCACGCACTGAGACCAGAGAAATATAAAAATGGGCCCAGATAATTACTCTCAGAAGAAGCAAGAAACCCTCACTGTCAAAATAAAAACTATCAGAATCCCCAGATAATAATACATTAATACATTCAGGGTGCTCATATAATTGCAGAGGCAGGAAAGGTATATTGAACTACCACCCAAAGAATAGGCAGCAGGAATTCTCAAATACAAAAATTATATACTGCCAAGAATTGGCAAGCAGTTGAGGAAAACTAGTATCATGAAAGTCCTCACACAAAGAACATGAGGAAACAGAGTAAGTAAACACATAAATATTATAATTAATGTCCTTAGATATATGAAAGTGAATCCCCATTAATTGGAAAAACCAAAATAAGTAATGAAAATTGTGTGAAAGGAAAAAATGTAGATAGAACCGAATGTCAGAATGAATGGAGCTAAAGAGTAAAACTAGGAATTCTCCCAGAACTTAAAAAATTAACATATACATTAATATATATGAAAAATAGTATAAAGAATTAAGACATGAAACTAAGGCCCTAAAATTTTAATATCAGTGAATTAAGAGTGATAAAAGGAAATAACAGAGACAGGAAAATAATTATCAAAGAATTAACAGGAGAAAATTGATCAGAACAGAAGGGAAGCATTGAGGAGACCCAGCAGGTATAGAGAAGCATTTTTTTAAAAAAAAAGTAACAAGAGATAAAAGCAATTAGACATATTTCAAGTGAGATTTCAGAACATAGGTGAGAAAAATTCTAAACTCTCTGAAAAAAACACTGAACAAACAAACCCAACTGATCTCTTATAGAGCAAGAATTAGTGTCATTATATTTCTCATTATCGAAACTGGTTACTGGGCTACAATGAAGCAGTATCATTCTGAGGGAAAATCATTTTGAATCTCAAATTTTGTACTTGGCTAAATTAGCATTTACATGTGAGGGTAAAATATAACTATTTACAAAGACATTTGGCATTACAGAGTTTAAAGTTTAAAGTTTAAAGAGTTTATGGTTTTTACCTAAAATGCAGAAATCTGATAAGGTCACTGTGCTCACCAACCATAAGAAAAGGCTAGAAGATCTACTGAATCGTAACTACTTTTCTTGAATGCATCAAAGAGTTGCAGTGTCAGGAAAACCAATTAACCCAAAATCTAAGGAGAGAGAAGAACCTCCAAGAAGAGAAAGAATGTGAGCCTTGACTCACTTAAGGCAGACTACCAAATGATGACAGAGTTGCCATAGAAATGGGTAGGACAATTTCAGCTAAAAGAATGTTGGTACAAACTTTTAACAAAACCGGAAAACAATTTTAATTAAAATTAACTAATAGTGTGTAAATTAAAACAAATGGAAAAATATTGCATGTGATCTCAAAATAAGAGGTGGAGATTGCAAAATGCAATTGAGCTTCTCATGTTTCCATTTCTGCATTCTTTTTTTTTTTCTTTTTTTTTGAGACGGAGTCTCACTCTGTCGCCCAGGCTGGAGTGCAGTGGCACAATCTCGGCTCACTGCAAGCTCCGCCTCCTGGGTTCACGCCATTCTCCTGCCTCAGCCTCCCTCCCAAGTAGCTGGGACTACAGGTGCCTGCCACCAGGCCTGGCTAATTTTTTTGTATTTTTAGTAGAGATGGGGTTTCACCATATTAGCCAGGATGGTCTCGATCTCCTGACCTCGTGATCTGCCTGCCTACACCTCCCAAAGTGCTGGGATTACAGGTGTGAGACACCACGCCTGGCCCATTTCTGCATTATTACTGATGGAGGATATAAATATCTAGTAATTCCAGACATTGAAAGAAAACAGTTTATTTATTTAAAAATTTACTTTTATTTTATTTTTAATTGGGACAAATAACAATTGTATAACTTTTGGAGTAAATGTCATATTTTCATACATGTATATATGGTGGAATTATCAAATCAATCTAATTAACGTATCCATCACCTCAAATACTCATCTTTTTTGTGGTGAGAACATTTGACCATACTTATTAATAACGTATTATACATTTCAAAAAAGCTAAAAGAAAAGTGTATAATTAAACATGTTGGCTAAATACTGTGGGTAACTGTAGAATGAATAGAAAAAATGATATATAACTTCCAAATCATTAAAAAAAATTAAAACATTCAAAAGTTCAGAAGATAAAAAATGACCTCCAGAAAAATGTAACAAATGTAAAGCATGAAACAATAGAGTAGAAATAACTACAGATGTATATAATCACAGGACTCATGCTTTTAATTATAACTATGAAATATCCTTCCATTTATTTAAGTCTCTAAATTTTTCTCACCACTGTTTTATAGTTTTAAGTGTGGGGTCCTAGATACCTTTGGTTAAATTTGTTCCTGAGTTTTTAGGTTTTTTGATGCTATTTCAGATGTTACAAAAAAAAGTCCAGTTGTTTATTACTAATATATAAAAATACAATTAATTTTTATTATGTTGACCTTTCATCCAATTATTTCATTACATTAAGATAATTTTAACAATTTGTAGAATGTAAATAACATTTACATTCGATGTTATTGGTAAGTAAGGATTCACTAGTGCCATTTTTTAATTTGTTTTCTGGTTGTTTTGTGGTCTTCGTTCTTTACTTCTTTTTTTGTCTATTTTCAGTGAAGGTGATTTTTTCTCATGGTATGATTTAATTTCTTGCTTTCTATTTTTTGTGTATTTGTTGTATGTTTGTAGATTTGAAGTTACCATGAGGCTTGCAAATACTGTATTATAAAATATTATTTTAAGCTGATAAAAATGTAACACTGCATAAACAAACAAATGAACAAGCAAAAAGAAAACTAATAAAAATTCTACACCTTAACTTTGTCTCCTGCTTTGTAACTTTTTTGTTTCTATTTATATCTTATTGTACTATGTCTTGAAAAGTTGTTGTAGCTATTATTTTTGATTCATTCAACTTTTTGTCTTTCTACTTAAGATGAGAGTAGTTTATACACCACAGTTGCAGTGTTAAAATAGTCTGTGTTTCTCTGTGTACTTACTGTTACCAGTGAGTTTTATACCTTCACATGATTTCTTATTGCTCATTAACATCCATTTATTTCAGTTTGAAAAAGTTCCTTTATTATTTCTTGTAGGACAGACAGGTATGGTGTTGGTAATATCCCTCAGCTTTTGTTTGTCTGGGAAAGTCCTTATTTCTCTTTCATTTTTGAAGAATTTTTTTCACTAGGAATTTTTTACTCTTTTAGGATGAAAGTATTTTGTTTTTCTTTCAGCACTTTAAATATCTTATGCCTGTCTTTCTCGTCATGTAAGGTTTCCCTAAAAAGTCTTCTGCCAATCATATTAGAACTCCATTGTATGTTACTTGTTTCTTTTCTCTTGCTGCTTTTAGGATCCTTTCCTTATCCTTGACCTTTGGGAGTTTGATTGTTAAATGCCTTGAGATAGTCTTCTTTGGGTAAAACCTGTTTGGTATTGTATAACTTTCTTGTACTTCGATATTAATATCTTTCTCTAGGATTAGGAAGTTCTCTATTATTACCCATTTGAATAAACTTTCTACCCTAATCCCTCTCTCTCTTTCCTCTTTAAGTCCAATCACTTTTAGACTTGCCCCTCTGAGGCTATTTTATAGATTTTGTAAGTGTGCTTCATCCTTTTTTATTCTTTTTTCTTTTGTGTCCTCTGTGTATTTTTAAATAACCTGTCTTCAAGTTCACTAATTCTTTCTTCTGTTTGATCAATTCTGATATTAAAAGACTGATCCATTCTTCAGTACATTAATTGCATTTTTCAACTAAAGAATTTCTGCTTAATTCTTTATAATTATTTCAATCTCTTTGTTAAATTTTCCTTATAGAATTCTGAATTCCTTCTCTGTGTTATGAATGTCTATGAGTTTACTAAAAACAACTATTTTAAATTCTCTGTCTGAAAAGTCACATATCACTGTTTCAATATGATTGGTTTCTGTCTTATTTAGTTTGTTTGGTGAGGTGATATTTTCTAGATGGTGTCAATGCTTGTGGATATTTGTCAGTGTCTGGGCATTGAAGGGTTGGGTACTCATTGTATTCTTCACAGTCTGGACTTCTTCATACCTGCCCTTCTTGGGAAGATTTTTCAGGTATTTGACAGGACTTGGGTGTTGTGATCTAAGCTGTATCTGTATTAGGTGGGACTCCAAGCCCAGTAACACTGTGGTTCTTGCAGACCTATAGAGGTACTGCCACAGTAGTCTTGGATAAAATCTAGAAAAATTCTCTGGATTACCAGTTAGAGACTCTTGATTTCTTCCATTATGTTCTTCCAAAAAAACAGAGTCTCTCTGTGGTGAGTCACTTGTAGCTGGGTTGGAGTGACTGTAGTACCCCTGTGGCCACTGGGACTCTACTAGGTCTTACTTGAAGCCAGCACAGCACTGGGTCTTACCCAAGGCTCACTGTAACTACTACCCAACTATCACCTATATTCATTCAAGGCTCTCAGAAGTGATGCCATCCAGGAGCCAGGGACTGGTCAGAAACTTTAGAAAATTATCTAGTGTTCTGTTGTACCGTGGCTGAGCTGGCACTCAAACCACAAGACACAGTCCTTCCCCCTTTTACCTCTCCTTTCTACAGTCAAAGGAGCCTCTACTACCAAAGGTGTAATGGCTACCACCACTACAGACCCCCGGGGAGTACTGCCAGGCTACTGATGATGTTCAGTTAAGACCAAAGGGCTCTTTAGTCAGCTTGTGGTGAATACTGCCAGGCCTGGGACCCACCTTTCAGTGAATTGGGCTGCTCTCTGGCTCCAGGAAGGCCCAGAAAATGCCATCAAAGAGTCAAAGCTTGAAATCGGGGACCCCAAGAGCCCACTTTTGCTATACTCCATTGTGGCTGGGATGGTGCCTAAGGTGCAAGACAGTGTTCCCTTTGCTTTTCCTTCTGCTTTTCTCAAGCAGAAGTTCTCTCTCACTGTAGCCATCAGATCTTGGAATGTGCTGGGTCTCACCTGAAGCCAGCACATCTCAGAGTCTCATCAAAGGTTTTTGATACTAACTGGGTATTGCTGCCTGTTATTCCGTGCCCATGTGCTCTTTAGTTAGGAAGTGATAGATCCTCCTGAAACTGGTTCCTCCCTTTCAAGGCAGCAGATTTCCTTCTGGCCTAGGGTATGTCTAGAAATGTCATCATCCCAGTTAGGGACTGGAAGGGTGGCCTCACAATCCTGACCGGTGTCCAATCCTACTTTGGCTGAATTGGTATCCAAGATGCAAGACAAAGTCCTCTTTACTCTTCTCTCTCCCTTCCTCAAGTGAAAGGAAGAAATCTCTCTTGGATCCACAAGCTGTGCTGCCTGGGATTGGGAAAGGGATGGTGCAAATGCTTTCTTAGCCACCTGTCTGGTATCTTAGTAGGTCATATGTCCCCCAAGTCCACTGGCTCTGAGCTCAGCTCAGCACTAGGCCTTGCCTAAGAGTTGGAGTCTTTGTGGCCTAGACTACTTTTTAAGTTTATTTAGTGCCACAGAGTACTTTAGCCCATGGTGACAAGGCTTGCAGCAACTCAAGTTCCCACCACTGAGATGAGTGATTCCCCTTCGTGTAGGGCTGGTCTAAATGCTCCCTCCATGAATGGGCACCAGCTGAGTTCAGCTGGGTTTTGCTTTTTGCTATGACAGGGCAGCACTGAGCTTAATGCAATGTCTCTCAATGACTGCACTCTCCCTCTCTCAAGTACACAGATTCTCTCTGTACCACATGGCTGCTGCTAGGGGTGGGAAAGGGGTGGCATTAGCAATTTAAGACTACCTTTTCTATCCTCTTCAGTACCTCTTTCAGGGATATTAATTTAAAACCAGATACTGTGAGTGCTCACCTGATTTTTATTCTTAAGAAGGTTTTTTGTTGTTGTTGTTTGTTGGTTTTTTTTTGCGTAGACAGTTGTTGAATTTGGTGTTCCTATGGGGCAGACGATCAACGGAGCCTTCTATTTGGCCATCTTGCTGCACTCCTCCTCCATTATATTTAACGTAACGACAACTGCAGTTGAGTTTATGGCTACTACTTTGCTAATATTTAAAATTTCTTCTACCTGTTTTGTTTCTTCATTCTTCATTTCTTACCATTGTAATAGATTAACCAAATCATTTTATCGTTACATTTTACCTCCTCTATTTTCTTTTAATTTGTGTCTTGTTTCATTATTCTTTTAGTATTCACACTAGAGATTAAAGTATGCACTCTTAACTTATTATGGTCTACCATATGTTAGCATTTTTATCACTTCTAAAAACAATGCAAGAAACTTTTAATAATATTTTGCTTTTCCATAATGAAACTCTATTTCTTCTCATTGACCTATTATTATCATACTTTAGAGATACAAAAATATATTTTATTGTTCCTTCTTCAAAAGTCAATCATCTTTTATATTTACCAATATATTTACCCTTTCTGATGTTCTTCGCTTTTTTCTACATGTTCATGCATCTACATGCCATAATTAACCTTTATCCTGAATCATTCCCTTTAGTATTTTTATGCACATGTGGGCTGCCGAAAATCCCTTCAGTCTTATTTTTTTGTTTTCTTGAAATGTAATTATTTTTACAATATTTTTGAAGGATTCATCTGAGTGTCAAATTATGGTTGACAATTATTTGTTCTTTCAACATTTTAAAGATGTGTTTCCATTATTTTATGTTTACTGCTAGAAAGTAAGCCAAAAGCTTTATTGTTGATTATTGCATCGTTAAAAGTAACCTGTCTTATAAGGTCTTCTCTTTTTCGTAGATCTTGTCAGCTGTGTTCTTTTGTGCTTAGTTGTAGTTTTTGCTGTATTTATTGTTTTGATGGTTTGCTTAGTTGCTTGAATCCATGAGATAATATATTTTATCAGATTTGAAAAATTCTCAGCTACTATTTCTTCAGATATTAATTCTGTCCCTTTCTCTCTCTTCTTTCTTTCTGGAACTCCTTATATATCTGTTAGATCTTCTGACTGTGTTCTACCCACATTTTCATATTCTTATCGGTTCTTTCCATTTTTTTCTCTTTATGCGTCACAATAAACATTTTCTATTTAAATACAGTATTCTTACCTTCTGCTGTGTAAATTACTACACTTTCATACATAGATTTTACTCATATTTTTCTTTTTTCAACTCATTAAGCATAATTATTTTGAAGCCCTTATCTGTTAACTGTAATATCTAGATCATCTTTGGTTGTATTCTTTGCATATCTAGTAATTTTGATGGTATGCTGAACATTGTAATGATATACTGTACAGGCTCTGGATATTTATCTTTTGCTAGAAAGTGGTATGTGGTTTTTTTTTTCCTGAAAATCTATTAAATTATCTGAAATACTTTGATGCTGTTGAGACTTAGTTTTAGGCTTTGTTAGGGAAAGCTTATTTTAGCATTGTTCTTACTGCTAGATATTTGATCTTATTTCAAGATTTTTTTTCTGAGTTTGCACATAAATGCCCAGTGTTCACTGAGGTTTCTCCCTTTGGCTGGATCCAAATTTTAGTGTCTCCTCAGCATTGTGTAACTTTTACTCATTTCTCAGCCTCCTAGTCTGACTGTTTTATCTAGTACTATGGAATCTCACTACATTTGTGAGCAACTCAAAAGTTAGCCAAGGCCTGAGGGAAATATCTATCCTATCCAGTCTTCTAGAGTTTTCTTTAGGTGCCCCCAACAAATAGTTTATCCGTTAACCATTAGTTTATTTAATAGTCCAGAAATTTACTATTAGTCTCTGACACCCTGCAAGATTGTTGCTGCTAGAGTTAGCTTTATTTTTTGGCACCACAACCTTCAGAAAATGACTTCAGGGAGAAAATCTGAGAAAATTTGAGATTCATGTCACTTACCTCCTTTCTCACAAAGACAATAGCCTTGAGCTCTCTAATGTCTGAATACATACATACGTGTGTGTGCACGTGTATGTATACATATGTATATATATAGTTGGCCATGGAAAAATGCAGGGGTTAGGGGTACCAACCCCATGCTGAGTATAACTTCTGATTCCCCAAAAACATAACTACTAATAGCCTACTCTTTACCAGAAGCCTTACAAATAATATAAACATTCATTAACACATATTTTGTATGTCATATATAGTATGTATTATATTCTTAAAGCTGGAAAAATAAACTGTTATCAAGAAAATTATAAGAAAAATAAAATATATTTACTATTCATTAAGTGGAAGTGGATCACCATAAAAATCTTCATCCTCATTGTGTCCATATTGAGTAGGCTGAGAAGGAGGAAAAGGAGGGGTCGGCATTGCTATCTCAATGTGACAGAGGCAAAAGAAGTGGAGAAGGTGGAAGGGGAGGCAGGAGAGACCGGAACACCTAGTGTAAATTTATGGAAATACATTGTATTTCTGTCTATATTTTGCTTTCTCAATTGCTCTAAAAAATATTTTTATTTAGTATCAATATTTCTGCCATTTTCTTTAGTTTCAATGCTCATATGATAGAAGGGCCCATGTCACAAAAGTGGTCTTGAATAATCAGAGCCCTTCAGACAGATTGTCTAAGGTCATTCTTTTTCTGGCACTGCTTCTTCTATGTCTTCTTCCTCATTGTCCAGCATTAGCTTGGAAGCATTCATCTTCAGCAAGTTGTCTTCTGTTAACTCCTCTCATTGGTATCTGTTAGCTATTGAATTTCCCCAGGATCGATATCTTGAAAACCTCACCGACTCCGTATTTTGCCATATTCACAGTCTATTTTGTCATTTCTTGACTGGCTCTGTTGTAAATCCTATGAAGTCATGCACAATATTTCAGCAGTTTTCTCCAGTAGTAATTAATTGTTTCAGGCTTGGTGGCTTTCACAGCTTTTTCTATAACAATGATGGCATCTTCAATGATATAATTCTTTCAGACTTTCATGTTGTTCTCACTTTCAGGTTTATCTTTCATACTGTTGACAGCTTTTTTCTTTTCTTCTTCTTCTTCTTTTCTTTTGAGACAGAATTGCACTTTGTCCTTTCCATAGAGGATTGTGTGTAATGAGCCTTAAAGTCCTAATGATAAAGTCCTAAAGTCCCGATTTAGAGGCTACAGAAGAGACACTGTATTTGAGGACAAGCAGACCACCTCAACACCTTAGTTGCTGAATTCATGGGATTCTGGGAAGCCAGGGGCATTTTTCAACATCAAAAGAACTTTAGAAATGTAGTCTCTTAGTGGAAACACCTTCCTGACTTCAGGGAGAAAACACTGATTGAACCAATCCAGAAAAAGTGTTCATTAAGTGGAATTGGATCATCATAAAAATCTTCATCCTCATTGTGCCCATATTGAGTAGGCTGAGGAGAAGGAAGAAGAAGAGGGATTGGTATTGCTGTCTCAGGGTGACAGAGGCAAAAGAGGTGGAGGCTTTGTCCAGGTTTTCTTGTAAAACAAAAACTGGCAGCTGGTGTCTATCTTTTCTTTCAAGACTTGAGGTTTAAAAGCATTGTGGATAAGGGAAGTCCTGATTACAAACCCAACTGCATTTGCACAGAAAAGTAAACTTATTCCTTCTTATCTTAAATTCTGGTACTCATTTCTCTTTCTTACTAATAATTGTCCTTTGTGGCTTTTTTTTTCTAAAATAGGGCACTTTTGTCTGAATTAAAAATCTGTTCAGGCAGATATCCCTTCTCTTCAATAATCATTTTATTTTCTTCTTCTTCTTCTTCTTCTTCTTCTTCTTTTTTTTTTTTTTTTTTTTTTTTTTGAGACAGAGTCTCGCTCTCTCGCCCAGGCTGGAGTGCAGTGGCATGATCTCGGCTCACTGCAAGCTCTGCCTCCCAGGTTCATGCCATTCTCCTGCCTCAGCCTCCCAAGTAGCTAGGACTACAGGCACCCGCCACCATGCCCAGCTAATTTTTTTGTATTTTTAGTAGAGACGGGGTTTCATCGTGTTAGTCAGGATGGTCTCGATCTCCTGACCTCATGATCCACCCGCCTCGGGCTCCCAAAGTGCTGGGATTACAGGCGTGAGCCACCGTGCCCAGCCTATTTTCTTCTTTTATTTTTTTGTGACAGGGTCTTGCTCTGTTGCCCAAGCTTGAGTACAGTCACATGATCACAGCTCACTGCAGCCTCAACCTCCAGGACTCAAGCTATCCTCCTGCCTCAGCCTTCCAAATAGTTGGGACTATAGGAGTGCACCACCATGCCTGGCTATTTTTTTTAAATTTAAATTTAAATTTTTTTATTTAGTGGAGACAGGGTCTCACTACATTACTCAGACTAACCTTGCTCTCCTGGGCTCAAGTAATCCTCCTGCCTCCGCCTCTCAAAGTGCTGAGATTACAGGTATGAGCTGCCATGCCCTGCCTCCAATTATTTTCTTAATGGCCCCTCAGAACTCATCTGCTGCCACTTGGTTGCCAGAAGCCATTTGTCCTGATATCTTGATTTTTTTTTTAATCAAAAATGTTTCTAAAATTATCACACCATCCTTTGTTAGCATTAAATTAGCTAGCTTTAGATCTTTCACCTTACTTTTGCTTGAAGTCATCATATAATAACTTTATTTTT
This sequence comes from Homo sapiens, assembly GCF_000001405.40. Lineage (NCBI taxonomy): Eukaryota > Metazoa > Chordata > Mammalia > Primates > Hominidae > Homo > Homo sapiens. The sequence goes on along the minus strand of NC_000007.14, from coordinate 89,284,713 downwards.
TTTCCAAATCCTGTTAGAGTCTACAGATGTGCCTTTCTTATAGCAATCCTGCCCCCACATAAAAGTTGCACTTTCCAGAGGAGATAAAAATGGTAGTTCACAAAAACTGCAAGGTTTCTCCAGCTGATGAGGTAGCTGCAATGATGGCTTTGTGAGTTTCCTTTTCTTTCTTTCTTTTTTTACAGCGGTCCTTATGCTGTGTTCATTTATCATCAAATAGTGGGCAACCACGCTGCAGACCTCAATCTATGGTACATGTCAAGCAATTCAAATTTTTCCTATAATATCATGATTTTTCCTTTGCAGAGCACTTTTGGCATCACTAGTGCTACTTCATATGGGTCCCATGGTTACTCAAGGTACAGCACTGAACACAATAAAAATATGTGAGAACTGAGAGATATCGTTTTTTACTGCAATAGGCAATTGGAGAGATGAACTTCCCACATGAAGATGATCAGCATCACAAGGCATTTTTAAGTGGATACTTACAATATTTGTGCTCACTGCAATAGCAACAGGAAGTTGCTATAAAATTATTACAGCAATATAGTATGTACTACGGTCACTTTTATTCAGTTATGATTTAATAATGCATCTTTGTGTTTGTTTACATTTACCTCAACTGTGAATGGGGCTATGTATGGTCTGTGTGTGTACATTTTGATAAATTTTTACATTTTATAACAGATTTGTGTATATTTTATGGCAGTAAATGATAAAATAGACAAGTATCTCCTTGTATTTTATGCATTTATGACATATCTAACTTTTTCTTAACCTTTTTGATATTTCTAAGTTACATAGTATGTCTGAGACTTGAAGTTTTTTAAACCATCAAAAGTCTCCAAAAATGTTTCAATAAATTTACTGAAAAAAATCTATGTATAAGTGGCCCCATGCAATGCTAATCTATGCTACCTAGGGTCAACTGTATATGTATGTATATATAGGATAATTTGTATAAATTCATAATATTAGGGAATTTTTAGTTAATAAAATTAAAAATATAAAATAATAAAAACAATTATAATTTCTGGTCTAGATGATATATTATAAGCTGAAATCATGACACAACACTCTGATTTAAACACATGGCAAAGCCGAGTACAATGTGAATATAAATAGTAACAACAAAAAGTGACACAGCAGGGATCAAATGAAATAAATAGCCCTGCAGATTATATAGACAGGTTCTTGCTGTGTCACCCAGGCTGGAGTGCAGTGGCTCATTTGTAGTCCACACACTATAAATACATCAGAAACACAAAGCAAGATATAGTGTTAATGGGCTCTAATACACATACACATTTATAGTTTTTTTACTGCAAGCATACGTGTGATACCAAGTATTATGTGATCATTGGAACCACCTGATGCTTAACTGTTTTTTACAAAACTTTCATCTCTTTTTTTAATGCTTCTCAATACCACATTTTAATTTATTAATATTTCCTTCAGTAGTGTCAGTTTTAGAGATTCTTCTTGAATATTTTAATTTTCTTTTTTTATAAAATAATTTTTATGACAACATTGGGATTACTTTCAGGACCTTCTGTTGTTAATTTATCGAATGTTTAAAGTATCCTGAACATATTTCAAATTTTTGTCTTTTCAGAGTATGAATTCATTATGGAGACAATTAATTTTATTTAATTTCATGTTCTGATTGGTTTTCTTAGCTGTATCTCTTATTGTATTAATTTCCTATGGCTGATATAACATATCACTACAAACTTGGTAGCTTAAAACAACAGAAATTTATTCTTTCAAAGTTCTGGCAGCCAGGATTATAAAATTAGTTTCACTGGGCTCAAATCAAGATATTGGCAGGGCCACGCTTCCTTCAGAGGGTCTAGGGGAAACTCTGGGTCTTGCCTCTTAGAGGTTCTGGTGGCTGCTGGCATTCCCTGGCTTGTGACTGCATCACTCCAGTGTCTGCCTCCATGATCGCACCAGAAAAGAGGCTCTTCTGTGTATCATCAAATATCCCTCTGCCTCTTATTATAAGGACATATTTTACTTTATTTACAACCCCCTTGAATCCAGGTTAATCGTACCCCCTCAAGACACACATTTTGATCACAGCAGCAAAGACCATTTTTCCAAATAAGATAGCATATACAGATTGCAGAGATTAGGACCTCCTGTTTAAGAGGAGAGGGGGTATTATTCAGCCCATCACATTTATTATTTGATTTCTTACTTGTTTTGGCATTTTATTTTGAGGTTCACGTTGAGTGGAAAGTCTTTTTTTGCTGTTGTTGTTTTGTTATTTTTGTCAACTTTTTTAAAATAAGTTTTTAAATTACCTGTCCTTGGGGCCTCCATCCAAATCATGTCTTAGGTAGTAATTAGCCTCTCTGTGTTGATGATATTTGCAATACCATAGGCACATGTGTCATTTCATAGTCATGAATTTGGTAGCTTCCATAGGCTGGGATCTGGTTAAAAGCAGTAACCAGATTTGTGCTTTGCCACTGTTTAAGTTACATTTTTTTTTTTTTTTTTTTTAGACGGAGTCTCGCTCTGTCGCCCAGGCTGGAGTGCAGTGGCGGGATCTCGGCTCACTGCAAGCTCCGCCTCCCAGGTTCACACCATTCTCCTGCCTCAGCCTCCCAAGTAGCTGGGACTACAGGCGCCCGCCACCACGCCCGGCTAATTTTTTGTATTTTTAGTAGAGACGGGGTTTCACCGTTTTAGCCGGGATGGTTTCGATCTCCTGACCTCGTGATCCGCCCGCCTCGGCCTCCCAAAAGGTTACATTGTTTTAGGCTCTCTTCTTTCTACTGTGGGAAAGCCTACCCCAGGGCCACATGTTAAGCTGAGACTTTTGGACTCTGTCTGAGTGGATTATATTTATTATCCTTTACTTTACAATTCTGGAAGTACTTTTGCTTGCTTTTAGATCCAGAGCCCATTAATACTATATCTTACTTTGGGTTTCTTACCTGTTTATAGTCTATAGACAATGATCCAACCACTACACTTCAGTCTGGGCAACACAGAAAGACCTTGTTTATAAAGTCTACAGAGATATTTATTTCATTTTGATTCTTGCCATGGCACTTTTTGTTGTTATCCATATTCATATTATACTTGACTTTGCCATATGCTTCAAGCAGAGAGTTGTGTAGTAATCTAGGCTTATAAACATCATATAGAGCAGAAACGATAGTTGTTTTTATTATTTTACATTTTTAATTGTATTATCTAAAAAACTCCTAATTTTATGAATTTTTACAAATCATCCTAAATTATTCTGGTTGAAATAAATTCATGTTAATATCAGACATATAATTTCTTATGGGTTCTACTGCAATGTAGCACTAGTTAGTAACCTTTAAATGTTTTCACATCATTTGAGAAAATGCTGATGAAAATGCAGTTCTTCAAAATTTGTAAGACTCTCTCATAAAATAATTAATACAGAGCTATTGGTTTTTTCTCCCCTGGGAGCCAAAATAAAAGATTATTAATTAATATTTTAAACCCAACTTTGATAATAAATTTATAACCATGCCAACTTATCATCTATAGCAATCATAATTATATACAGGTCTTAAAGAAGAATACCTTAAAGTAATGCATTCCACAATATAAATCCATGAACAACAGGATATATGATATGACTACCTTTTCAGAATACAATTATGCTGTTAAATTTTCAACATCAATCATGAAGTGAAAGAATGGTGCAGATGGTCATGATATTTTTGAAATTTACTACAAAACACTGATGGTAGAACAAAGATTAGACTTAATGTTACAGACATTAAAATATAAACATCTTGAAAAAAACTCCTTTATAAAATGAGTTAGGGAGGATTCCCTCTTTTTCTATTGATTGGAATAGTTTCAGAAGGAATGGTACCAGTTCCTCCTTATACCTCTGGTAGAATTCGGCTGTGAATCCATCTGGTCCTGGACTCTTTTTGATTGGTAAGCCATTGATTATTGCCACAATTTCAGCTACTGTTATTGGTCTATTCAGAGATTCAACTTCTTCCTGGTTTAGTCTTGGGAGAGTGTATGTGTCGAGGAATTTATCCATTTCTTCTAGATTTTCTAGTTTATTTGCATAGAGGTGTTTGTAGAATTATCTGATGGTAGTTTGTATTTCTGTGGGATCGGTGGTGATATCCCCTTTATCATTTTTTATTGCGTCTATTTGATTCTTCTCTTTTTCTTCATTAGTCTTGCTAGCGGTCTATCAATTTTGTTGATCCTTTCAAAAAACCAGCTCCTGGATTCATTAATTTTTTGAAGGGTTTTTTGTGTCTCTATTTCCTTCAGTTCTGCTCTGATTTTAGTTATTTCTTGCCTACTGCTAGCTTTTGAATGTGTTTGCTCTTGCTTTTCTAGTTCTTTTAATTGTGATGTTAGAGTGTCAATTTTGGATCTTTCCTGCTTCCTCTTGTGGACATTTAGTGCTATAAATTTCTCTCTACACACTGCTTTGAATGTGTCCCAGAGATTCTGGTATGTTGTGTCTTTGTTCTCATTGGTTTCAAAGAACATCTTTATTTCTGCCTTCATTTCGTTATGTACCCAGTAGTCTTTCAGGAGCAGGTTGTTCAGTTTCCATGTGGTTAAGTGGTTTTGAGTGAGTTTCTTAATCCCGAGTTCTAGTTTGATTGCACTGTGGTCTGAGAGATAGTTTGTTATAATTTCTGTTCTTTTACATTTGCTGAGGACAGCTTTACTTCCAACTATGTGGTCAATTTTGGAATAGGTGTGGTGTGGTGTTGAAAAAAATGTATATTCTGTTGATTTGGGGTGGAGAGTTCTGTAGATGTCTATTAGGTCTGCTTGGTGCAGAGCTGAGTTCAATTCCTGGGTATCCTATGAGGCCCGCATCACCCTGATACCAAAGCCTGGCAGAGACACAACCAAAAAAGAGAATTTTAGACCAATATCCTTGATGAACATTGATGCAAAAATCCTCAATAAAATACTGGCAAACCGAATCCAGCAGCACATCAAAAAGCTTACCCACCATGATCAAGTGGGCTTCATCCCTGGGATGCAAGGCTGGTTCAACATATGAAAATCAATAAACGTAATCCAGCATATAAACAGAACCAATGACAAAAACCACAAGATTATCTCAATAGATGCAGAAAAGGCCTTTGACAAAATTCAACAACGCTTCATGCTAAAAACTCTCAATAAATTAGGTATTGATGGGACGTATTTCAAAATAATAAGAGCTATCTATGACAAACCCACAGCCAATATCATACTGAATGGGCAAAAACTGGAAGCATTCCCTTTGAAAACTGGCACAAGACAGGGATGCCCTCTCTCACCACTCCTATTCAACATAGTGTTGGAAATTCTGGCCAGGGCAATTAGGCAGGAGAAGGAAATAAAGGGTATTCAATTAGGAAAAGAGGAAGTCAAATTGTCCCTGTTTGCAGACAACATGATTGTATATCTAGAAAACCCCACTGTCTCAGCCCAAAATCTCCTTAAGCTGATAAGCAACTTCAGCAAAGTCTCAGGATACAAAATCAATGTGCAAAAATCACAAGCATTCTTATACACCAATAACAGACAAACAGAAAGCCAAATCATGAGTGAACTCCCATTCACAATTGCTTCAAAGAGAATAAAATACCTAGGAATCCACCTTACAAGGGATGTGAAGGACCTCTTCAAGGAGAACTACAAACCACTGCTCAATGAAATTAAAGAGGATACAAACAAATGGAAGAACATTCCATGCTCATGGATAGGAAGAATCAATATCGTGAAAATGGCCATACTGCCCAAGGTAATTTACAGATTCAATGCCATCCCCATCAAGCTACCAATGACTTTCTTCACAGAATTGGAAAATACTACTTTAAAGTTCATATGGAACCAAAAAAGAGCCTGCATCGCCAAGTCAATCCTAAGCCAAAAGAACAAAGCTGGAGGCATCATGCTACCTGACTTCAAACTATACTACAAGGCTACAGTAACCAAAACAGCATGGTACTGGTACCAAAACAGAGATATAGATCAATGGAACAGAACAGAGCCCTCAGAAATAACGCCACATATCTACAACTATCTGATCTTTGACAAACCTGAGAAAAACAAGCAATGGGGAAAGGATTCCTTATTTAATAAATGGTGCTGGGAAAACTAGCTAGCCATATGTAGAAAGCTGAAACTGGATCCCTTCCTTACACCTTATACAAAAATCAATTCAAGATGCATTAAAGACTGAAACGTTAGACCTAAAACCATAAAAACCCTAGAAGAAAACCTAGGCATTACCATTCAGGACATAGGCACGGGCAAGGACTTCATGTCTAAAACACCGAAAGCAATGGCAACAAAAGCCAAAATTGACAAATGGGATCTAATTAAACTAAAGAGCTTCTGCACAGCAAAAGAAACTACCAGCAGAGTGAACAGGCAACCTACAAAATGGGAGAAATTTTTCACAACCTACTCATCTGACAAAGGGTTAATATCCAGAATCTATAATGAACTCCAACAAATTTACAAGAAAAAAACAAACAACCCCATCAAAAAGTGGGCAAAGGATATGAACAGACACTTCTGAAAAGAAGACATTTATGCAGCCAAGAAACATATGAAAAAATGCTCACCATCACTGGCCATCAGAGAAATGCAAATCAAAACCACAATGAGATATCATCTTACACCAGTTAGAATGGCAATCATTACAAAGTCAGGAAACAACAGGTGCTGGAGAGGATGTGGAGAAATAAGAACACTTTTACACTGTTGGTGGGACTGTAAACTAGTTCAACCATTGTGGAAGTCAGTGTGGCGACTCTTCATGGACCTAGAACTAGAAATACCATTTGACCCAGCCATCCCATTACTGGGTATATACCCAAAGGATTATAAATCATGCTGCTATAAAGACACATGCACACGTATGTTTATTTCGGCACTATTAACAGTAGCAAAGACTTGGAACCAACACAAATGTCCAAAAATGATAGATGGGATTAAGAAAATGTGGCACATATACACCATGGAATACTATGCAGCCATAAAAAATGATGAGTTCATGTCCTTTGTAGGGACATGGATGAAATTGGAAATCATCATTCTCAGTAAAGTATCGGAAGAACAAAAAACCAAACACCGCATATTCTCACTCATAGGTGGGAATTAAACAATGAGAACACCTGGACACAGGAAGGGGAACATCACACTCTGGGGACTGTTGTGGGGTGGGGGTAGGGGGGAGGGGGGAGGGGGGAGGGGGGAGGGATAGCATTGGGAGATATACCTAATGCTAGATGACAAGTTAGTGGGTGCAGCGCACCAGCATGTCACATGTATAAATATGTAACTAACCTGCACATTGTGCACATGTACCCTAAAACTTAAAGTATAATAATAAAAAAAAGAAAAAAAAAAGAAAAAAACTCCTTTAGATGTTTTTGATGGTAGATCTTAGCATCAGATATGACTAATAAGCTAAATATACTCACAAATGTTTGTTTATTGGTGCATTAGCTCTGCATTTGAGGAATTTCTCTTCTGTGTGTATGTAAAATTTTGTATCTATATATAACATTTTATATTTATGTGTTTATATATTTTATATTTTTGTATATATTTATATATAATAAATATTTGTATACATAATAAACTGAAAATGTCTATTAAATTTGACAACAGACCAAAGTTGCTTCAAATCACTTGAGTGTACATTTCTGTGTGCTAATGCTAGCAAATTCCAGATGTACACCTATAGCCCAAAAGACACAAACATATACACTAAAACACAGACATAATATTTTTCAGAAGGAGGGAAAAAACAACTTGTGAACACTTCTTGGTGATATACAGTATACTGTCTACATTGTTTAGTAGATTAAAGTGATAAAAAGACTACAGAATACCTCTAGAGTCATACTAAGTACAAATATATGATTAAGTTTAAAATGATATAGTTGACAAACATTTTAATGCTAGGAAATTAATTTTAATGTTATTTAAAATGTAGTCAAATATCCATTAAAGAGGTATTGTGATTATTAACAAATATACTTTCAAAGAAAGCAAAACTCAATTACATTTACTGAATTTTTTATGATTTTATTTTGATTGTCACAGACATAGTTAAATGTTCCCTTTGAAACATGCATAAAATAGCATTTTAAAATATATTTTCAATTTATCTCATAATTTATCTCAGAAGTCCACTGTAGTCTCCCAAATAAACACATATTATATTGTACATTTGAAATTATTTTTGTTTATATTTTAGTGAACCCCTTATAAAACAAAGTATAGTCTCTGAGACTTTTTATTCTGAACCAGTGTAACACTAAACTTATATATACTACATGTGTGTATATCCAAGGGGTCTTTTACCTATATAACTGCACATGGAGTAATTTTTATTTTAAGTTCCAGGGTACATGTGCAGGATGTGCAGGTTTGTTCCATAGGTAACCACGTGCCATGGTGTTTTGTTGCACCTATCAACCCATCACCTAAGTACTAAGCCCAGCATGCATTACCTATTTTTCCTGATGCTCTCCCTACCCTCACACCCTTGCCACAGGCCACAGTGTGTGTTATTTTCTCTCCCTGTGTCCATGTGTTCTCATTTTTCATCTCCCACTTATACATGAAAATATATGGTGTTTGGTTTTCTGTTCCTGTGTTAGTTTGCTAAGGATAATGGCTTCCAGATCCATTCGTGTCCCTGCAAAGAACACGCTCTCATTCCTTTTTATGGCTGCATAGTATTCCATGGTGTTTATGTACCACATTTTTTTATCTAGTCTATCACTGATGGGCGTTTGGGTTGATTCCATGTCTTTGCAAATCCAAGAGGTTTTGCACTTTAGAATGCCTAGTAGGTGCAGGTAACATTTCTAGGCGATGGGGATATATTCATAAGTGGGATAAAGAAAAGTCTTTATCCTCCTATAGCTCACTTTCTTGTAGGGAGAAAATAAAAAGTTCATAAGTAAAATATCTAGCATAACACAATAAAATCTACTTAAAATGGTTGGAAATGAGAAATGTGAAATGGCAAAGAAAGAGATTGCAAATTTAATAGGTATAAAAGACTATATTAAGAAAGATGGAATTGGATCAGAGATCTGAAATAGAGAGGGGAATAAACTGTGTAGATATCTGTGGCCAGAATGTTCAAGCCAAAGAGAACTACAAGTGCAAGAGCCTGGAGGACAGAGTAGCTAGAAGGTTGATGTGTCTAGCCAGCACTGGATTCAAAGAAAGCAGCAGGAAGCACCAGATCATTATCCATTTTGATTTCTACTTTGAGTGATATGGAAAAGAGCTGGAGGGTTTTGACCCAATCATAAGAATAAGTTGACTACTCTTTTGGGAATAGATTAAAAGTGAGATGTACAAGGGCAGAAGCAGGTAGATTGGTTATAAAGCTATTACAGTATTTCTGGGTGTTAACAAGGTGATTGGAAATTGCTAAATTTTTAAAGTAGAGAAACATGTTTTCCTGATTTCATGTGTAATGAGAAAGAAAAAGAGAAGATGGAGTTTTTGGCCAGAGAAGCTGGAAGGCTGAACTTTCCACTTCCTTGGAATGGAAAGACTTGAAGAAAAACAGGTTTTTGAGAAGAAAGATCAAGAGTAAGGTCTAGATAATTTTCAGATGCCTATTAGACGTCCAAATACAGATGCAAGTCTGTTGACTTACATAAAATCTGGAATCAGGAGACAAATTCATTTCAGAGCTACACATTTGAGAGTTTTCTATTCTCTGTCTCACTGAGAACAGAAGAGATTACTAAGGATAAATAAGGATAGAAGTGAGAGGACACCATGGCTTGAGCCCAAGAACACTTCCAATATTTGGAGGATGGGAGATGTGAAGGAATCCACAGTGAGACTGAAAAAGAGTGGTTAGCAACAATGGAGGAAAGTCAGGGTAGAGTGATGTCCTACAAGGGAAACCTGAATAAGTAAATGAGAAGGGAAGAACTGCAAGTGGAAGAGTTGATATAAGACTCTAGATGGATACACAAACTTTTTCATAATATTAGACTGCAGTTAAAAGAGATAAGTACAAAAGTAAGCAGGTCAGTTACATGGTGTTGGGAGTTTGGGGAACATGTCTTCTAAGGATCATTATGTGTATTTTCTCACTTAAATAGGAAAAATGTCACCAGTTAAGAATGAAGCAGGGAGTAAGAAAATGTGGCACATATACACCATGGAATACTATGCAGCCATAAAAAATGATGAGTTCATGTCCTTTGTAGGGACATGGATGAAATTGGAAATCATCATTCTCAGTAAACTATCACAAGAACAAAAAACCAAACACCGCATATTCTCACTCATAGGTGGGAATTGAACAATGAGATCGCATGGACACAGGAAGGGGAATATCACACTCTGGGGACTGTGGTGGGGTGGGGGGAGGGGGGAGGGATAGCACTGGGAGATATACCTAATGCTAGATGACGAGTTAGTGGGTGCAGCGCACCAGCATGGCACATGTATACATATGTAACTAACCTGCACAATGTGCACATGTACCCTAAAACTTAAAGTATAATAAAAAAAAAGAAAAAGAAAATAAAATAAAATAAAAAGAAAAAAAAAAGAATGAAGCAGGGAGATAGTGCTGCCGATTTTGGTAGAGATGAGAGGTTGTGGAATAGTCATCAGTCACAGGGGAAGAGTGCATTAAGAATGGATTTTTAGTATGTCTACTCTTTGTGGCCAAGACGCGAATTTGAAAGACTGTTATCTGAAACAGAAAAAGCAGAATGTGGCTACTGACTTGAGAAAAAGAAAAAAATCTCTTATTGAGATTAATGTGTAACATTATTGATGCAGAAAAATAACTTTTCCAAACATGTAAACTCATTTTATCGTTATTTAGAGAAATGCCAAAGCCTTGTTTTGTTTATTGGAAATGCTGATGGCCTAGGAAATGAGAATTAAATTGAAGTTTGGGAGCAAATTTAAATCTACCACTCAGGAGATCTGCCATGCAATGGCACATCAATAAAACATTAAGTATTTGAGCTCTTAATATGTGCTAGACATCAAGGTGATAGTTATAAAACAAGCTTCATAAATATAAAATAATACTCCAGAAATAATGAATTGGGTCCCATTTGTTTCTTCAATTGTGTCATACTTTGCAAATGGAAAATATTAAACTGAGCATGTTGTTTGTAAGCTTCTAGCAGTAAATATTTATAAGTTGGCTATAACTGAATAAAATTTTAATATTTAATTAGAACTTGACCACTTTAAGTAATTTTAACTTGAAAATTAATTGTAACAAAATAAAACATTTAACCAACAACTCCACCTAGCTATTTGGTCTACCTTTCATCTATAACCCTTGAGATGTCATTAGAAATGCTGATGAAACCATTTTTTTGAAAGAAAGAAAGCTTATTGTCTTCCTTTCATTTAGCTTGGCATGGTTTTCATTTTGATGACCCTATTGTCTACTGTTGCCTCTTTGTAGTGAGTAGCATGAGGTCATTGCTTTAGTCTGTCTTTTGAAGTTAATTTTTTGTTTCAGAATCTGGTTTTAGTAAAAAATCCTCAAAACTACTTTTGAAGGGTTGTGCATTTTTATGATGACATAGTGCTTAGGTTTGTTATAAAAATTGATTACATGTTTTTATAATTATCTATATGTGAGAAGTAGTCTTTTAATCAGTTAAAGCATTTTTGAAGATTACAAAAAACAACTGTTTATTTTTAAAACTGCAGCTACATAGCATTTGAAAATCAATGTAATAGTATTTTTTTTTCCGTGCATTACAAACACTGTGAGAAAACAAGAGGGCAGTATAAAGGCAACATTTGTCCCAAAGCTGGGGAATAGGTAGACAGAATTGGAGTTGGCCTTTCCAATGTTCTGTCTAAGACAGTTAATTAAACGCTTGTTTTGTTTTCCTGATCTGATGGTAGGTGGTGTATACATTGTTTCTTTTAAGAAAACTTTCCACCTATAAATCTATAAGAGGGAAAAAGATGAAGATTAAAGCATTTTTTCCCTTCTCCAACTCTCTGAGACTTGCTGTGCTACAAATAAAGCTCAAAAGATCATTTTTAAAAGTGACAGGAACATAAAGGGGTAGCGGGAAAACTTAGTTATTTTGTGAAATGTACTGAAAGTCATATTTTGAGAATGTATCTGTTGTTTAGAACCCTGCATTTCACTTCAATTACCTTTGTTTTGATTTATTAAGAACAACTTTCTAATGATTTTCCCATAGTATTTTTGGCTCCTGTTCTATCTGTGTTTTATGGAACAAGTTCACTACGTTAGGCTAATTAAGACATAAATTTTAATTAATCAATTTTAACAAAACCTTCTTGAATTTGCCTGTGAAGTACTCAAGGCATAAATTATGATTCCAATTTAGAAAATGTAAAACAAAAATAAATTAAGTATGATCAAATTTATTCATACATGCAACACATATTTATTGACCATTTGCTATGTGCTAGGTGCTTTCTTGGTCCTATGGCTTAGAAGACTGAGATCAAATTCAATAAAAAAGGGTGCTGCTAGTAGAAAGAACAATATGAGCGCAGATACTGAAGCATTAAGGAGAATGATATGTTGGGAGAATGGCAAATTTCTCAGTGTGGTTGAAATATGGAATGTGAAATTGCAAGACTATTGAGAAAAAATGAGAATAATTTAAAAATTTCATACTAAGAATTTTGAACCTTATGTTGTAAGCTAAAAAGACACAATGAAGGTTTTTAAAAAATCCTTAACTTCCTAAAAGACAAATTTTTTCATGTAGAAAAATAAATCAAATATGATACAGGGGATATCACCACCGATCCCACAGAAATACAAACTACCATTAGAGAATACTAAAAACACCTCTACGCAAATAAACTAGAAAATCTAGAAGAAATGGATAAATTTCTGGACACATACAGCCTCCCAAGACTAAACCAGGAAGAAGTTGAATCCCTGAATAGACCAGTAACAGGCTCTGAAATTGAGGCAATAATTAATAGCTTATCAACCAAAAAAAGTCCAGGACCAGACGGATTCACAGCCGAATTCTACCAGAGGTACAAAGAGGAGCTGGTACCATTCCTTCTGAAACTATTCCAATCAATAGGAACAGAGGGAATCCTCCCTAACTCATTTTATGAGGCCAGCATCATCCTCATACCAAAGCCTGGCAGAGACACAACAACAAAAAAAAGAATTTTAGACCAATATCCCTGATGAACATCGATGCAAAAATCCTCAATAAAATACTGGCAAACTGAATCCAGCAACATATCAAAAAGCTTATCCACCATGATCAAGTGGGCTTCATCCCTGGGATGCAAGGCTGGTTGAACATATGCAAATCAATAAACGTAATCCAGCATATAAACAGAACCAAAGACAAAAACCACATGATTATCTCAATAGATGCAGAAAAGGCCTTTGACAAAATTCAACAGCCCTTCATGCTAAAAACTCTCAATAAATTAGGTACTGATGGGATGTATCTCAAAATAATAAGAGCTATTTATGACAAACCCACAACCAGTATCATACTGAATAAGCAAAAACTGGAAGCATTCCCTTTGAAAACTGGCACAAGACAGGGATGCTCTCTCTCACCACACCTGTTCAACATAGTGTTGGAAGTTCTAGCCAGGACAATCAGGCAGGAGAAAGAAATAAAGGGTATTCAATTAGGAAAAGAGGAAGTCAAATTGTCCCTGTTTGCAGATGACATGATTGTATATCTAGAAAACCCCATTGTCTCAGCCCAAAATCTCCTTAAGCTGACAAGCAACTTCAGCAAAGTCTCAGGATACAAAATCAATGTACAAAATTCACAAGCATTCTTATATACCAATAACAGACAAACAGAGAGCCAAATCATGAGTGAACTCCCATTCACAATTTCTTCAAACATACTAAAATATCTAGGAATCCAACTTACAATGGAGGTGAAGGACCTCTTCAAGAAGAACTACAAACCATTGCTCAACGAAATAAAAGAGGACACAAACAAATGGAAAAATAGTCCATGCTCATGGATAGGAAGAATCAATATCATGAAAATGGCCATATTGCCCAAGGTAATTTATAGATTCAATGCCATCCCCATCAAGCTACCAATGACTGTCTTCACAGAATTGGAAAATACTACTTTAAAGTTCATAGGGAACCAAAAAGGAGCCCTCATTGCCAAGTCAATCCTAAGCCAAAAGGGCAAAGCTGGAGGCATCAGACTACCTGACTTCAAACTATACTACAAGGCTACAGTAACCAAAACAGCATGATACTGGTACCAAAACAGAAATATAGACCAATGGGACAGAACAGAGCCCTCAAAAATAATAACACCCATCTACAACCATCTGCTCTTTGACAAACCTGACAAAAACAAGAAATGAGGAAAGGATTCCCTATTTAATAAATGGTGCTGGGGAAACTGGCTAGCCATATGTAGGAAGCTGAAAGTGGATCCCTTCCTTACACCTTATACAAAAATTAATTCAAGATGGATTAAAGACTTAAATGTTTAGACCTAAAACCATACAAACCCTAGAAGAAAACCTAGGCAATACCATTCAGGACATAGGCATGGGCAAGGACTTCATGTCTAGAACACCAAAAGCAATGGCAGCAAAAGCCAAAACTGATGAATGGGATCTAATTAATCTAAAGAGTTTCTGCACAGCAAAAGAAACTACCATCAGAGTGAACAGGCAACCCACAAAATGGAAGAAAATTTTTGCAATCTACTCATCTGACAAAGGGCTAATATCCAGAATCTACAAAGAACTCAAACAAATTTACAAGAAAAAAACAAACAACCCCATCAAAAAGTGGGCAAAGGATATGAACAGACACTTCTCAAAAGAAGACATTTAGGCAGCCAACAGACACATGAAAACTTACTCATCATCACCGGCCATCAGAGAAATGCAAATCAAAACCACAATGAGATACCATCTCACACCAGTTAGAATGGTGATCATTACAAAGTCAGGAAACAACAGGTGCTGGAGAGGATGTGGAGAAATAGGAACACTTTTACACTATTGGTGGGACTGTAAACTAGTTCAACCATTGTGGAAGTCAGTGTGGCGATTCCTCATGGACCTAGAACTAGAAATACCATTTGACCCAGCCATCCCATTACTGGGTATATACCCAAAGGATTATAAATCATGCTGCTATAAAGACACATGCACATATATGTTTACTGTGGCACTATTCACAACAGCAAAGACTTGGAACTAACCCAAATGTCCACCAATGACAGACTGGATTAAGAAAATGTGGCACATATACACCATGGAATACTATGCAGCCATAAAAAAGGATGAGTTCATGTCCTTTGTAGGGACATGGATGAAGCTGGAAACCATCATTCTCAGCAAACTATCACAAGGACAAAAAACCAAACACAACATGTTCTCACTCATAGGTGGGAATTGAACAATGAGAACACATGGACACAGGAAGGGGAACATCACACACCAGAGCCTGTTGTGGGGTAGGGGGAAGGGGGAGGGATAGTATTAGGAGATGTACCTAATGTAAATGACGAGTTAATGGGTGCAGTACACCAACATGGCACATGTATACATATATAACAAACCTGCATGTTGTGCACATGTACCCTAGAACTTAAAGTATAATAAACAAAGAAGAAAACATGTTAATTTGAAAAAATAAATTTTTCTATTACCAAAAAATAAAAAATAAAAAAGAACAATCTAGGCAAGGCACTGAATGCCAACCAGATGTTGACAAAACATTTGGATTTCATTTGAATTAAGGTAATTGCTTGAAAAATAATAGGCACCATCTGCCTGATCTGAGTCTTCTCTTTATACAGCACTTGTCTAAAGAGTGTACTTAAATTAAAAATTTACTAAGTGTTTATATGTATGAGGAAAGCTTATCCCTTCCAGAGAATACTATGAAAATTCCTCTGGTAAAGAAAAGAAGCATTCACTCTGTGAAGTGAATCTCTTGCCCCAGATCTGATGGGTACACATCCCCATTTTCACATACTGGATTTGCTTTAAAGCCAGGTACTCACACCCGAGCTGCGTGAAGGAAAAATGTTGAATCCCATTACAAGACTCTTAAATTTGCGCTCTGTTTTATTAAAAAGAAAATGTCTACTTGAAAAAAAAAGAAAAATAAATCAAATAGCTTTGTGCCTTGCTGCCTGGAATAGAAAAGAATGAAGACTGCAGACTGTTAAAAAGCTGTTGGAATAGTTTAAGAAAGATCTCGTCATGAAATGTTTGCAATGTTGTTGGAAAGCAGAGAAGAGACTCTAAAGAAGTCTAACATAGGTGGGATTTGTTGGGATGCTGAATGTACACATGAGAAAGAGGAAAGCCAATATTGACTGACTTCCCTAGATGTTTTAAAAAAGAATTGTTAAAATCGTTGAATATGATAAAAACATAGAAAGAGGAGGAATCTGGAAGTGATTATTAAAAATTGGATTTGTGAGATATTGTGATTTGTGTGTGTCTGTTGATAGGGAGTTGGAAATACAGCATTGAATAATGTCAAAGACAATGTAATCAAGTACTATGAAGAAAGAAAAGTAGTCATTACTTTTAGTAAGAATGCTGTTTTTAATAAACATAGGAGAAAGATACTCATTAGACTTTTGGTCCAAAAGGTTCATCACAGCAACATGTGTAGGAAGAGCAAAGTGAAATGTGGGCAGCCTTTAGATTACCAAAGAGAGATTATTTCCAGAAAAGATATAATTAAATAGAGAGTAATATATTGAAGACAGTGAATTTCATTATCCTAAAGTGCAATCTGTATTTTCAGCTACCTATCACCAGACATACAGAAACCCCACAATATGTCACAAATCAGATTTTTAATCTCTCCAAATTCTCTTCCTCTTTTATGTTTCTATCCTACCCAAGGTACTTTCTATGTTAAGAAACAAATATATTTAGAGGACACCTATTGCTTCACTATTCAGCATTTCTTCTCTTATTCAAATGAAAAAGCAAAAACATCCTTCTATTAGAAAATGACTCCTTCCTTGCTACCGATTTCAGCAGTAGTTCAAGAACTTAAGAACCATTAACTGACTGTGGACAACCAGAAGTCCTGTCTTCTGCAATGCCTGGCTTGTAGGATAAGGTCTGAAGACATCTATGGTCACTCCAGGTCCCATATATAACTAGACCATATTTGGTGGAAATAAGTTTGATCAACACATAGAGGGAAGTAGAGTGAAGAGATGAAAGAAAAAAATGTTATCATCTGAGCCCATGGATGCAGTCATGTTTAAAACTAATTATTGCTTTGGTCTTTTCAAATTTGTGAACCAATAAATTTCCACACTTACAAATTTGATTTGTCACTTGCAACCACCAGAATCCTGATAACATAGGCTGATATCAAATAGCTACTATAAAAGGTGTAGAATATACAAAACAGAGAAATTACAATGGATAGAGCAAGTTCACAAAGGAGAGAGGGAATCCAGTCACTAGCAGGTGGGAAATATAGCCTTGGAAAGAAGAAAGAAGCATTTCATATTTTGAGGGAATGGGTTAAAAAGGTGAAACAAAGGATCAATATCAACAAATGAAAAGGAGGGAATATAAGGACATAAAATGTGGTTTAAATCAAGGTCTGCAGAATGATAAAATAACCAGTTGGTCAAATCACTCCAAACAGTGAACTCCTCAATTCTCAGGGAAGTCCTTTTTCTAATAAATAATGTTCCCAATTTAGTAGCACAGAATTATCTAAATTGATTCACAAAATATTGGTACAACTTAGTGTATGCAATTTCAGTTTAACTTCTTTCCATTGCCAACACTCCCAAAGACACACACACACACAAACACAGACACACAAACATTAGTACTAAGTTTTTGGAGCCATTTCCTCACTTTTTTGATTTCCTGAAAAGGATAAATAATTATTTTTATGATATACCTGATAAAATCTCTACTTATTACAATGCCAATATTTTTGGAACCAAATAAAGAAACATAAAGAGAAAGCATATGTGGATAAAATGACCAATGAAGTACAAAGTCCGATTTCACAGAGGGAAATAGAGCATACTTTGAAGTTAAATGAAAGATCAATGTTAGGATAACATATGTGAGAAGGCTATTCATGCAAGAGGAACTTTGGAATTACTTGAACTGTACTTGCCACTTTGGTTTTTATATGAAAAACTGTATCTTACAGGAAATCATATTATAGTTTATTAAAAGTATATCTTTAAAACTGGAAACAATCATTGATAGGTGAGCCTCCTATAGTTCCTACCTAGATATATTTATTTATAGTCAATGCTGCTACTTGGAAATTTGAGTCCATATTATTTATAATATATATTAATATCAGGCAGTACAGTCACTCAAAATTTTGAAATGCAAATATGACCTTTATCATGAAGAATGGTTCTTTTTTCATAGCTGGCTGATGATGAGAAAAGAGAAAAAATAAGTAAACCTTGGTGCTAGACTAGTAATATCAGAAATAGCAACAGCAGGGGTGTTAGGGCAGCTGTTCTGGTGGCTTGTTAAAGTCAAATAGGCAAGCTGCTCAGAAGAAGAATGGAAATGGCCCTGTTCTGGAGGTCAGTGAAAGTCCCAAATGACATCTTAAAAATCTATTTGCAAACCTCAAATTCTCTGATAAATTATGTGAAGAAAAAAAATCTAAGCCTAGGCAATAGCAGAATACTTTCATTAATTGTACTCATGGTTGTAGAGAATACTATCACTTCTTCAATTAGCTGAGCTGTCTGCCATGAAGTCGAGTGACCAGAGGTCTCTCCCTAAAAGAACTGCAATATGGAAACTTACTATGAAGCCCTAGTGAAAATTAATGTGGCTGCACCCACTGCAGGGATGATTTCTATCCATGCCTGGGACTATTGCCAGGGGTCAAGAAACACACAGATGGTGGGTGACACTGCAGGCAGAAGATATATTACTGCTGTTACTACCATTCTTAATTAAAATAGAGAAATAATCTGTATTTTCACAACATGTTTCTATTTTTTTGAATAATTGTTATTGTTTTAAACTGCGTCATTTTATTTTGAGATTACCCTGTAAGGGAAGTGTTTAAAAATAAATTTAAATGGAATTTGTAAAGTTCCACAATGCCAGAAAGAATGAGATTTTACTATCCTTCTGTATTATCTTAGATAAAGATTATTTAACTTGGCACAAATGGCTTTAACTAATTTGAGTCCAATCTAAATTTCTCTCATCAACTACAAACTTCCCTCTATGCAAATTAAATTATGGAGTTCTATTAGTATCCCCTAAGTTCCACTTGACTCCTCTCTGACTTTGTTCTTCCTGCCTAAAGCATCCTTTTTGTGCTTATCTGTTTATTTACTAAAATATCCCAAATCAAGTGTGTGCCTGTGCACGTGCATGTGTGCGCGCGCGCACGCGCACACACACACACACACACACACACACACTGACTTAACCTGTGAACTTTATAATCTAAGATCATGGATAACACATTCAGAGCTAGATGCTTCACTTTTCTTCACCCTTGCCATTTCATCTATCATCAATTGTGGAAGTCTTTCCTCTCACTCTAGAGGTGATCACACTATCTTTCTCAACTTTGTACTCTTGGCAGCCCCTACAAATCAATGGCACATGGTGATTGAGATAAAAACTATTTATCATTCTAGATCCAATTTTACATGATATACAGCAGAATAAAATGATTGCTTAAATCACATACAAAGATATGATATAAGAGAACACAAAAAGGACTTCTAGATAATAACAATATTCTGTTTCAGTTGTTTGAATGAAGAATCTGTTGACTAAAAAAGGTAATACAGAGTAACAAGTCTGAAGTCAGGATGAGAAGATGTCAAAAATAAAGATTAAAGTGTCCTTGGGACATCCTAATGGAGATGTGCCAGTGAGAGTTGGATGTTCAATATTGAAGCCCAAAGTGAGTTCTAAATTATGAGAATATATTTGAGAGTCTCCAGTATATCAAATAAAGATAAAATCATGAGTATGAATGTGGTCACCTTGAGATCACACAATGTAGCAAGAAGTGAGGGACAAAGGCAGAACCTTGGATTATACTCCTGATATTTAACAGGCACTGGGGAGAGAAAGAAACCTATGTGTGAGATTGGGAAGAAACAGTCAATCAGAAGAAACAGAAGAAGAGGGTAAACAGAGATTGAAGGGTGGTGTGCAATGGCCGGAGTCAAATATCAAAGTGAGGGCAATTGATATAAGCAAAGGAAATGTGTACAGGCTTTGGCAATGTGAAGGACCTTGGTACTGTTAGCTTTCAGTGGCATATTAGCCTCAAGAGAAAGACTGTATTAGTTTGAGATATGTGATACAGACAGGACGGTGTGTGCTGGCTGCTCTCCCTCAACGATTGGCTGTAAAATGAAGACAGAATCCAGAGCAGAAGTTGAAGGGTGATTTGTTAAACCTGCAGGATTTTTTATTTCAAAGAGGCTTGGCTCTGTTCACATGTAAAAGGAAAATGTCTACCAGATTACAAAGACGTTTGTTGGTAAAGCAGAGGCAGAAATGGCAGAGGTTCCCTAACACAAATGTAACTTTGAACAGTAGGTGGGATGTGGAAGGTAGGTATGGTTGTGGATATAAACATGTTTGTAAGTGACAAGGAGGAAATTAAGGAAGGTTTTATGTACTGTCTTAATATTTTCTGTGAAATGAGAGACAATATTTTCTGCTAAAATTGTGTATTAATAGAAGAAGATACCTTTATTAATTTCCTAGGACTTCCATTAAAAATTACCACAAACTTGGTTAATTGAAACAAGAGAAATTTATTATTTCATAGCCCGGCAGCCAGAAGTCCAAAATCAAAATGTCAGCAGGGCTACACTTCCTCTAAAATCTTAAAGTTGAATCCCTCCCTGCCTCTTCCAGCTCCAGTGGTTAATGGAGTTCCTTGGCTTGTGACCACATAACTCCCATCTTTGCCTCTATCTTTACATGATCTTCTGTTCCTTCTCCCTGTGTGTTTCAGGTGAGGACATTTATCACTAACTTTAGGGTCCACCCAGATAATCGAGGATGACCTGATTTCCAGATTCTAAACTTAATGACACCTGCATAAGTCACCTTAAAAAAAAAAAAGGTCACATTCACAGGTTCGTGTGGTTAGAACATATCTTTTTGAAGGTCACTATTGAATTCTATTTCAACATAGCAGACTTGAATACATTAGGCAATTTTCTCCTTCTGCATCAAATTCATAGACATTATTTTGTCATATATAAAAATAAGTCATAGCTCCACTAAAAACAAAAAGTCACTCTAGATGCGCTACAGAGTCTAGAGAATCCTGAGAAACAACAAGCAGCGGAAAAAAGCCATATCAAAGCACAACTTTAAAATAAAACATTAACTGGTCTGTGCTGGTAGGGCGTGGAACCAGTGAATAAGATGCTAAGGATCAACGACCAGAATTATTAGCATGGTCTCACAGCTGGAGTAGTCAGGTAAGTTAACCTTGGCAAACAACAATGGAAAAGTCCCGAGGTAGGAATATTAACTGAAGGAGGTCAGGAAGACGGAGGCATAATGTGTCCCGAATGGCTCACAACATTTGGTTGCAAGTGCCCATACTCAGAAAAACAGCTGCCAAGGGATGCCACTTTCTCACAGTCACTAACGAAGTATCCAAGCCACATTTCAGCTCACACCCATCTCCCTGAATGAAAAGAGGAGATAGTCGTACAGGACAACTAAGCTACAAAGTGCACAAGAAAGCAGCAAATATCAGAACCATGACAGAGACACTTACAGGTGTTGAAAGAGTTAGCAAAAAGTGTGTTTCGTAAAATGTCCAAAATATGTCCAAATATCTGGAGAGAGATTAGGAAGATATTATACCTATATAAGACTAAGCAATTGTACAATAAGAAATTATTAGAGATTTTTGAAATATAAAAGTATAATGATTGAGATTGTAACAAAAAACTAAGCAAACTCTAATTATATAGACTAAAAAAGAAAGGTGGACACAGCTATTGGGCACACAAATATTCTGGAGCACCAAGCCTAGTAGCTCATAATGCAATTCCAAATGTTATACAGACAGAAAGTATGAAAGAGGAATGGAAAAAAAGATAAAAAGATTTACACCTCTATATAAAAGTAATCATTATAATAAGAGCAAGCACTTACATAATACTTAAAATATACTGAGCACTGTCTGAGCACTTTACATATATTCATTTACTTACTCATCGCAGCAAGCCTTTGAGGAAGAGAAAGTAATTAACTTACCCATGGTCATATAGCTAATAAATAGAGAAGCCAGGAATTGGACCTGAGGCTCAAGAGGGCATGCTCTTAACCATTATGCTAAACTGCCAGAGCAAGAAAATAATGAGCATGGGCCAGAGGCATAATTGAAATTGAATAAATGATAGTAGAGAAACTCCCATGACTGACGAAAGACATGAAACTTCCCTGAGAGAAAAAACTATTAAAAAATAAAACAAACCAAAATTACACTTGATCCAGCTCTACTTGATAGATTCTTTTTCTCCTTTAAGGGTTCCAGGTCAATCAACGAAGTTGAAAAAGGGGGAAATATGAGTGTTTTGGAAGTTCACAAGGTATTTTCATTTCCTTAAAAGACTTTCTAAAGCTCCCTCTTTAAAATTAGAGTTCATTAAGGTAGAGTACGTAAGTTCTAGAGTTGTACTTTCCAAAAATATTTCTAATTAATCAACATAAAAACAAATACAAGCATTATAATAAACCCAGAAAGTGAGAAGGATTCTGATGAAAAGCGGATTCAAATGACTAAGCTATATAATAACACACCTCATGGAAAATAAAGTCAGGCACTGCATAACAATGTTTCAGTTGATGCACACTGCATGTACAACAATGGTCCCATAATACTGTACTTTACTATACCTTCTCTATGTTTAGATAATCAACATTTAGATATGTTTAGATACACAAATACTTACCATTGTGTTACAATTGCCTGCAATATTCAGTGCAATGACATGTGGTACAGGTTTTTAGCCTAGGGATAACAGGCTATACCATATAGATTAGGTGTGTAGTAGGCTATACCATCTAGGTTTTTTAAGTGCAGTTTTTGGTGTTCCCACAATGATGAAACTGCCTAACAACACATTTCTCAGAACATATGCATGTCTTTAAAAAGATGCATGACTGTATGTGTACTATTGACCCTTGAACAACACAGATTTGGACTGCACAGGTCACTTATGCACAGTATTTTTTCAATAACTATATAAGAAACATTTGGGGAGACTTTGGACAATTTGAAAAAACTTGAAGACAAATATATATAAAATATAGGTCAAAAAATATCAAAAATTAAGAAAAAGGTATGTCATGTTGCACAAAATACATGTATATACTAGTCTGCTTTATCATTTACCACTAAAAATATCACAAGTCTATTACAAAAAGTTAAAATTTATCAAAACTTATACATACAAATGGATTATTCATGGCTCTATTACAGTTCAGAGAAATGCAAATGAAGATACAGATGCAATAGTAAAGCATAACTGCATAAAATTAACTATAGTACTTACTCTATTGCTGTAATAATTTTATAGTCACCTCCTGTTGCTATTGCCTTGAGCTGAAGTGTTTTATCTGCTTAAAATGCCCTTGTAACAGTACTCATTTCAATTGAGCAGTTCCTGTCTACAGTAAATTGCATATAGCAGTAAAAGGTAAACTATCATGGTTTTCTCATATTTTTATTGTGCTTAGTGCAAATGCCATAAACCTTGAAGAACAACATCGAACCCATATGAAGTGCCACTAGTGATGCTGGAAGTGTTCCCAAGAAGCAGAGAAAACTCATGACATTGCAAGAAAAAGTTGAATTGCTTGATACGATACAGCTGTAGCTGCCTACTTTTACAAGATAAATGAATCCAACATAAGAACCATGGTAAAGACAGAATAAGAAATTCATGAAGTTGTCATTGCAGTTATACCAACAGACACAAAATCTTACTGTTTTTGTGAAATACTTGTTTTACCGTTTACTGAAAACATAGCTTTTATGTGGCTTCAGGATTGGTATAAGAAAAGCATGCCTATAAATTCTAATGTGATTTGAGAAAAAATGAAGTCATTATGTGAAAACTTAAATCAAAAGGACAGTGAAGGATATAAAGCAAAGGATGGTTTGATGATTATAGAAATAGCTTTAGGCTTTACAAAATGTCAAGACAGCAGGGGAAACAACTTTTGCAGACCAAGCAGCAGCAAAATTCCCAGATCCCATTAAGAAAATCATTGAGGGGAAAGTATATCTACCTAAATAGGTTTTTAACAAGGAAAAAAGTACCTTATTCAAAAAAAAAAGTGCCACAAAGGACATTTATTAGTAAGGAAGAGAAGTGAGCATTAGTATTTAAGACAAGAAGGGATAGGCTAACTTTACTGTTTACTGTAAATGCACTTGGGTTTATTATTAGGACTGCCCTTACCTATAAAGCTGCTAACCCCAGAACGATGAAAGGAAAAAAATAAGCACCAGCTGGCAGTCTTCGTTGTACCACAAGAAAGCCTGGACAATGAGAATTCTGGATTAATTTCACTGATGCTTTGTCCATGAAGACACAAGCCCCAGTAAGGGGCTGCCTTTCTTGCTTTTCTTCCTTTCCTTCCTTTCTTTCTTTCTCTCCCTCTCTCCCTCTCTCCCTCTCTCTCTCTCTTTTTATTTTTTTGACGGAGTTTCGCTTTGTCGCCCAGGTTGGAATGCAGTGGTGTGATCTCAGGTCACTACAATCTCCACCTCCTGGGTTGCATTCAAGCAATTCTCCTGTCTCAGGCTCCCGAGTAGCTGGGATTACAGGCATCTGCCACCATGCCTGGCTAATTTTTGTATTTTTATTAGAGACAGGGTTTCACCATGTTGACCATGGTCTTGAATTCCTGACTTCAGGTGATCTGCCTGCCTCGACCTCCCAAAGTGCTGGGATCCAATACAGGACTGCCTTTCTAACATTCTTTTGCTATTGGACAATGCCCCTAGCACCCAGAACTTCATGAGCTCAACATTGAAGGCAATGACTTAGTCTACTTGCTAAATCAGGGGGTCATTAGGACGCTTAAGGCTCATTACACATGGCATTCTATGGAAAGTCTTGTCAATGCAATAGAAGAGAACCCTGATAGAGAATACATCATGAAAGTCTGGAAGGATTATACCATTGAAGATGCCATCATTGTTATAGAAAAAGCTGTGAAAGTCATCAAGTCTGAAACAATAAATTACTGCTGGAGAAAACTGTACCCAGGTATTATGCGTGACATCACAGGATTTACAACAGAGCCAATCAAGGAAATCATAAAAGAGATTGTGGATGTGGCAAAAACCAAAAACAAAACTAAATCAACCACAACAATAAAACAGTTGGGGTGCAAGGTTACAAGATATGGATCTTAGAAAAAGTAGAGCCAATAGACACCACACTAAAGGAATTAACAAAAGATGATGAGGGAAATTAAGGCTTCTGAACCACAGCTAGATGATGAGGAAGAAGACATCAAATAAGCAGTGCCAGAAAACAAAACTGACGTTAGACAATCTGGTAGAAGGGTTCTGATTATTTAAGACTACTTTTGACTTATCTTATGACATGAACCCTTCTATGATATGGGCAAATTTTGGAGAAAGGATTGGTAACTGTAGAAACATTTTTTTAGAAATGAAAAAGCAAAAAAAAAATCAGACAGAAATTATGATGTATTTTTGTAAAATTACAGTGAGTATGTTTGCCTCTCCTGCCTCCTCTTCCACCTCCTTCACTATTTCATCCTATTTCCTTCTCAGCCTACTCAATGTGAAGATGAGGAAGATGAAAACCTTTATAATGATCCAATTTGACTTAATAGTCAATATATTTTTTCTTTCCTATGATTTTAATAAAATATTGTCTCTCTAGCTTACTTTATTGTAAGAATACAGTACATAATACATTTACAAAATATGTGTTAACTGTTTATGTTATTGTTAAGGCTTGTGGTCAACAGTAGACTTTTAATGGCTAAGTTTTTGAGGAGTTAAAAGTTATACATGGATGTCTGACTGGAAGAGAGGTTGGTTTCCCTAACCCCCATTTGTTCAAGGGTAAATTGTATATCTATTGCTACCATCTTCACCTGTTTTTGATTCTACAATTACAGAGCATTGCAGCTTATGGAATAACCATTTATTCAACTATATGGCTTTTCCTAAATTATTTTGTTATAATTCAACTATGTAACCAAAATTAAGCTGCCATGCTATTATTACACATAGCCACACTGACACAGTTAAATTTTCATTATTCATTAGACTAGCAGAGCAGGATTCTGAGCAATTAAGGGGGTGAAAAATATACACAGTTGCTCCTGGTATCTTCAGAGGATTAGTTCCAGGATCCCTATGGTTACCAAAATCTGCAGATGCTCAAGTTCCTTACTTAAATTGGTGTAGTATTTTCAGATAGCCTATACACATCCTCTAGTATACTTTAAATCATCTCCAGATATTTATAATACCTAATAAAATGTAAAGTTTATATAAATAGTTGTTATACTATATTTTATTTATATTATTTTTATTGTTGCATTATTTTTATTGTATTTTTTTCCAAATATGTTCAGTCTTCAGTTTGTTGAATCCACAGATGTGGAACCAATGAATATGAAGGGCCAATCATATTTTGATGACATATTATACAAGGTTGGCAAATTTGGATGGGGTGACTTTATGAGATATCAATATCTGTATAATGCACCTGAAAACATGTAAAACTTCTCACTGGAAAAAAAAGAGTGATTACAGGAACAGAAAACCAAATGTCACATGTTCTCACATATAAGTGGGAGCTAAACATAGAGTACATAGGAACACAAGAAGGGAATAACAGAAACCAGAGCCAACTTGATGGAGAGTTGGAGGAAGGTGAGAATAAAACAACTACCTATTAGGTACTATGCTCATTACCTGAGTAGTGAAATAATCTGCAAACCAAAGCCCTACAACATGCAATTTACTTCTATAACAAACCTGCACATGTATCCCTTAACCTAAAATAAAAGTTAAAAATATATATATACAATTATAAATATATGCCAATTATTCATTTAAAAGAGTGATTAAATACAAAGAGTAGTGACTCCTTTTATATGTAAAGGACATTACTATTAGCATAATTTCATGTAAACATTATGTAATACAACATGATCTGGGCATTGGATAGATAATGCATTAAATTAGGACTCAGAGATTAAGCTTATAAGAAATAAAAGCAAAACAAGAACTGAAATTTTGTGATTTCTATCACAGTATTCTTTCTAGTGCATTATAAAATATAGTATTTTATGAAGGAACAACCATGCAGAACTTTACATATAATATGCTATATTCAAAGCATATTTTAAAAAATTCGTGGAAGGATAATCTCTAATTTCCTTCAGAAATTGACTCCAGTATTTAGTCACTACAAAACTGAGGGACACTTCTCCAGCTACAGGAGAAACTCCATCCTATAGTTCAGTATAATAAGTGTGTTTTTAATTAAACTCAGCACAGATGATGAGAAAAAAAATCCCAAAATTTGTTCTTTAATGAGCCATTTTACAGGGTAGTAACACACTAGGAGCAGCAGTAACTTGTCTAACTCAATCACCTGGCTCACAATGGCATTTTAAGTTTCATATACATGTTCTCTTTTTTAAAAAAGTTTTAATTCTTATATCTATCATAAATGAAAAGTATTAAACATATGTAGTTTAGAGAATAATTGTAAACACACCTGAATAATCGCCACCAGATGTTATGAAAGTGAATGTCACCAGCTGCTAGTGCCATAAAGGCCTCTGTTGTAGCCAGCTGCACCATCCTCCTCCTCCAGAGGAAATTATAATTCTGAAGAGTATGGAAAACACTCACTTAACTTTCATGTAATTTTTCCACCTATGAGCAAGCCTAGATGTGTTGTTTCATATGTTTTGGATATTTATGCAAATGAAATAATATCCTATGCATCCTTGAGTTGGCTTGTTTGCTGAGTATTATGTTTTTAAGCTTCATCTATTTGGATGTGATAGTGATAGAATGTTTATTTTAAGTGCTTTACAGTATTTGAATGTATAACTAGTCCACTTTTTTTTTTTTTTGACAGTCTTGCTCTGTTGCCTAGGCTGGCATACAGCGGCCCAAACACAGCTCACTGCAGCCTCAATCTTCTGGGCTGAAGCAATCCTTCTACCCCAGTCTCCCATGTAGCTGGGACCACAGGCACATACCAGCATGCCCAGCTTGCATATATATATTTAGCACCTTGCTATTTTTCCCAGGCTGGTCTTCAATTCCTGGGCTTAAGCAATCCTTTCGCCTCAGCCTTCCAAAGTGCTGGGATTACAGGCTTGAGCCACTGTGCCCAGCAGCCAGACCCTTTTAATGGCTTATTTGAGTGGTTTCCAATTTTTTACTATTATAAACAGTTTTGATAAGAATAGAATATTGTAAAAGTCTCTTGGTACAAATGTGAAAGTGTTACTATAGTCTACGTACATGATTATGAATTTGCTTGGTCACAAAGCAGACCCATGCTAAATTATTTTAAGAAAAATAAAGTGTTTCTTATCATTAAAATCATCCCAGCACACTAGTATTGAACAAATACTAATGTGCTTTTAATACTTTTTGCAATCAGGTCATTATGTTTTGGAATTGGGTTTTGGTTTTAATTTGCAGTTTGCTAATTAGTATTAAGCTTAAGCATTAAAAAAATTATGAGCAATTTATATTACCCCCTCTGCAAAATGCCTATTTTTATCTTTTACTCACTTTTATGAATCTTTTTTTACTGATTTATGGTCTGAATACTAGTTCTCTGACAGTTGTAAATATTAGAAACACTTTTTTACAGATTATTACTTATATTTCCCTCTCTGTAAAGTTTTTGGTTTTTTTGTATCATTTAAATTATCGTTTTCCTTAGGCTATCTGCTTTTTATGATTTTATTAAAAAATTATTTCCTCCACTACAATTATAAAGATATTTTCCTATACTCTTGCAGATAAGTCTTTAATCTACATGATATTTATTTGTGTACAGTATGATGTAGGAGTCCAATTTTATTTTATTGTTCAAATAGATGACTATGTTTTCCAGTATTATTAATGAAATGGGCTCTCTTTTCCCACACTAACCAGCAACGCCCACTGGGCTGTAAATCCAATTTGCATCCATGAATGGAATAGTTTCAAGGCTGCTATTTTGTCCCATTTTTTTACTTGTCTATCTCTTCCTCACCACTGTTCTGTTTTAATCACTATAATATGGTTTTGCTGTGTGTGCCCAACAAAATCTCACCTCGAATTGTAATCCCCATAATCCCCATGTGTCAAGGGCAGGACCAGGGGAGGTGACTGGATCACGGGGGCAGTTTCTCCCGTGCTGTTCTCATAATAGCGAGTGAGTCTTATGAAATCTGAGGGTTTTGTAAGCGTCTGGCATTTCCCCTGCTTGCACTCACTCTGTTCTGCCACCCCTGTGAAGAAGGCGCCTACTTCTCCTCTTCCTTCCTCCATGACTGTAAGTTTCCTGAGGCCTCCCAGCAATGTGGAACTGTGAGTCAATTAAATCTGTCTCCTTTATAAAGTAGCCAGTCTCAGTTATTTCTTCATAGCAGTGTGAGAACAGATTAATATATTACAATACTTCAAACAAAAAGTCCCCTCTTTATTTTTCTTCTTTAACAGTCCTGGCTGAGCGTGGTGGCTCATGCCTGTAATCCCAGCACTTTGGGAGGCCAAGGTGGGTGGATTGCCTGGGGTCAGGAGTTCCCAACCAGCTTGGCCAACATGGTGAAACCCCGTCTCTACTAAAAATACAAAAATTAGTTGGGTGTGGTGGCGGGCGCCTGTAATCCCAGCTACTGGGGACGCTGAGGCAGGAGAATTGCTTGAACCTGGGAGGCGGAGGCTGCAATGAGCCAAGATTGTGCCACCACACTCCAGCCTGGGCCCCAGAGTGAGATTCTGACTCAAAAAAAAAAAATAATAAAAATAAAAATAAAAATAAATAGTGTCCTGGCTGTTTTCATCCTTTATATGGAGTAAATTTTCCACATTCCACAGGAAATCCTGGTGGGATTTTTATTTGAAGGAGTATTTTAAGTTAAGGGACTATCCATGCATTTATATTACTGAAATTTTCTAAGAATGTGTTGTGGGTTTTTTTTTTAATTTAGGTATTCTTTAATATCCTTCCATAAAATTGTATGTAGTCTTCTTCCTAAAGGATTTACTCATCTTATGGTAGTTTAATTATTAGGCATTTCATATTTTTGATGTTATTGTAATTTTCTTTTAATACAATTATATTCTGCAAGTGATTTTTACTGTTATCTAAAAATGCGGTTTTCTTCTGAATATTAATATTTATCTAGTAACATGACTAAATTATTAATTCTAATAATCAGTAAGTTTATGTTTTGTAGATATAGTGACAGCATTGTTTCTTCCTTTCTGATTATTAAACATTTTAATCCTATCTCACCGCACTAGCTAGAACCGTCAATGCAATGTTAAATAGAAATTGTGATAACAGAAACTTTCCACTGACTTGTTTCTTGTTCACAATTTTAAAAGAAGGTTTCAACATGTGCCATTAATAACATATTCATTGTATTTTAGTAGAAATCATTTACTATGCTAGGGGAGTTCCCTTCTTTTTTAGTTTCCTAAGGTTTTCATTCTGAATGGATATTGAATATTAATTTTTCCCCTCCATCTAAAGTAGGAATAATGAGGTGAACTACATTCATCCATTTTCTAGTATAAACGGGGTTTGCATTCTTTGGAGAAATTCAGCTTAGATTATACCTATATATTTTTATTTTTTAAATTGATGGATTGAGATGCAAATAACGTATTTACTATTTTTGTATCTGTTAATGACTAGGTGGGCCTGTAATATACATTTTTTATTTTTTATAATCTTCTGTTTCTGTCGTCTTTCTTTTTAAAATGGTCTGCAGAATTTTGTGTAATATTAGAATTACCTGAAAATCTTACCTTGAAACCATCTGGAACTGGTGTTTACACAATGAGAGGATTTTAAAAGAAATTTCAGTTATTTTGATTCTGACTGAACCATTAAGGTTTACTATTTCTTCTGGAATCAGTTTCGGTGAAATCAATTTTTATGAGAATGTATTCATTTCATATATATGTTTACATGAATAAAGTTTTTCCTAATACTCTTTTATTAGCTGCATAACATCAATAGCATCTCTACTTATACCTATATTGTCTTTCATATTAATGTACTTTTGGCTGATGCCTCTTTATTAATTTAACAAGGCATGTTTTTAGTTTATAAAAATTGCCTTCTTTTGACTCCATTGATCTTCTGTTTCAATTTTTATTAGTTTTTACATTTTAGTTTTTTATGCTTAAATTACTCTCTTGTTTATAAAAATACTTAAATTTTAAGTTGGATACTTAGCTTTAACTTTTAGCATTATTTCTGTTCTAAAGCAAGCTCTTAAAACTAGAATACCTATAAGTATTACCTTAGCTATATCCCAGAAGTTTTGAAAAGCAGCATTTTCATATTTATTTAATTATAGATTTTTTTCTGTCCTTATTTATGTTAACTTTTTCTTTTTAATAATGTCAACTTTCATCTTAGATATAGTGGGTACACATGCAGGTTTGTTACCTGGGAATATCTGACACATGAGGTTTGGGATCGATAGATTCCCGTCACCCAGTTACTGAGCATAGTAACCAATAGTTTTTGAAAAATTGTCCCCCTCCTTCCCCAGTATTTCCAGTGTCTATGGTTGCCATCTTTATGTCCATGTGTAACTAGTATTTAGCTCCCAATTGTAAGTGCAAACACGAGGCATCTGATTTTCTGCTTCTGTGCTAATTCGTTTAGGATAATGGTCTCCAGCTGCATTCATGTTGCTGCAAAGAACAAGATTTCATTCTTTTATATGGCTGCATAGTATTCTATGGTGTATATGTACTACATTGTCTTTACCCAATCCACCATTGATGAACATCTAGATTGATTCCATGTCTTCTCTATTGTGAATAGTGCTGTGATGAACAAATGGGTGCATGTGTCTATTTGGTAGAATGATTTCTTTTCTTTGGGACATCCACCCACTAATGGGATTGCTGGATCAAATGGTAGTCCTGTTTTAAGTTCTAGGGAAATGTCCAAACTTCTTTCCACTGTAGTTGAACTAATTTATGTTCCAACACTGTATATGCATTCCCTTTTTTCCACAGCCTCTCAAGCATCTACTGTTTTCTGTTTGTTTGCTTTTTACTTTTAATAATAGCCATTCTGACTGATGTGAGATGGTATCTCATTGTGGTTTTGATATTTTTTCATATGTTTGCTGGCTGCTTATAAATCTTCTTTTGGGAATTGTCTGTTCATGTCTTTTGCACACTTTTTAAGGGGGTTATTTGTTTATGTTTTTTCAGTTATTTAAGTTTTTTATAGATTCTCGACATTAGACCTTTGTTGGATGCACAGTTTGCGAATACTTTCTCTCATTCTGTATGTTGTCTGTGTACTCTTATTGATAGGTTCTTTTGCTGTGCAGAAGCTCTTGAGTTAAATAGATCCCATTTGTCAAATGTTGTTTTTGTTGCAATTGATTTTAGGACTTAGTCATAGATTATTTCTGAAGGCCGGCATCCAGAATGCCATTTCTTAGGTTCTCTTCTAGGATTTTTATAGTTTGAGGTCTTACATTTAAATCTTTAATACATCTTGACTTAATTTTTGTATGGTAAAAGGTAGGGGTCCAGTTTCATTCCTCTACATATGGCTGGCCACGTATCCCACCACCATTTATTGACTAGAGAGTCCTTTCCCCATTGCTTGTTTTTGTTGACCTTGTCAAAGATCAGATGGTTATAGGTGTGCAGCTTCATTTCTGGGTTCTCCATTGTGTTCCATTGGTCTTTCTATTTTTGTAATAGAAAGTACAGTAACCAATACCATACCGTTTTGGTTACTGTAGCCTTATGGTATGGTTTGAAGAGCTATTTTGGCTTTTTATGGTTCCATATGAATTTTAGAATAGTTTTTTTCTAGCTCTGTGAAAAATAACATTGGTAGCTTGATAGAAATAGCATTGAATCTGTACATTGCTTTGGGCAGTATGGATTTTTAATGATATTGGTACTTCCAGTCTATGAGCATGGAATGATTTTCTATTTGTTTGTATTACCTATGCTTTCTTTCAGCAGTATTTTGTAGATGTCTTGTTTCTTTCACTTCCTTGGTTAGATGTATTCCTAGTTGTTTTTTAATTTGTTTTTTGTTTTGTGGCTATTGTAAATGAAATTGTGTTTTTGATTTGGGTCTCACCTTGAATATTATTGGTGTATAGAAGTGCTGTTAATTTATGTACATTCATTTTGTATCCTGAAACTTTGCTGCTGTCATTTATGTGTTCCAAGAACCTTTTTGTAGAGTCTTTAGAGTTTTGTAGCTATAGAATCATATTATCAGCAAAAAGAGATGGTTTGACTTCTTCTTTACTTCTTTGGATGCCTTTTATTTCTTTATCTTGCCTGATTATTCTGGGAAGGACTTCCAGTACTATGTTGAATAAGAGTGGTGAGAGTGGGCATTCTTGCCTTGTTCCAGTTCTCAAGGGGGAATGCCTCTAGTTTTTGCCCATTCACTATGATGTTGGCTATGGGTTTGTCATAGATGGCTCTTATTATTTTGAGGTACAATCTTTTGATGCCTAGTTCCTTGAATGTTTTTAACATGAAGACATGTTAGATTTTGTCAAAAGCTTTTTCTCACGTCTATTGAGATGATCATATTTTTTGTTTTTCATTCTGTTTATGTGGTGAATCACATTTATTGATTTGCATATGTTGAACCAGCAGTGAATCTTAGGAATGAAGCCTATTTGATCATGCTGAATTAACATTTTGATGTGCTGCTGGATTCACTGTGCTAGTATTTTGTTGAGAAATTTTTGTGTCTGTGTTCATCAGGGATATTGGTCTGTAGTTTTGTTTTCTTGCTGTGTCTTTGCCAAGTTTTGGTATCGGGGGATGCTGGTTTTGTAGAATGAGTTAGGGAGGAGTCCCTCCTCCTTGATTTTCTGGAATAGTTTCAGGAAGATTAGTACCAGCTCTTATTTGTATGTCTGGTAGAATTCTGCTGTGAATCCATCTGATCCAGGGCTTTTTTTAGTTGGTAGATTTTTTCTTTTTATTTCTGATTCCATTTCAGAACATGATATTGGTTTGTTAAGGGTTTCAATTTCTTCCTGATTCAATCTAGGGAGATTGTGTGATTCCAAGAATTTATTCATTTTCTCTAGATTTCCTAATTTGTGTGTATGGGAGTGTTCATAACAATATCTGAGGGTCTTTGGTATCTGTGGAATCAATTGTAACATCACGTTTGTCATTTCCGATTGTGCTTATTTGGATCTTCTCTCTTTTTACCTATATTTTTTTTTAATGAAACAAAATCTTGCTCTGTCACCCAGGCTGGAGTGCAGTGGCGTGATCTCAGCTCAATGCAACCTCTGCCTCCTGGGTTCAAGCAGTTCTCTCCCTCAGCCTCCTGAGTAGCTGGGATTACAGGCACCCGCCAACACACCTGGCTAATTTTTTTGTATTTTCAGTAGAGATAGGGTTTCACCATCTTGGCCTGGCTGGTCTTGAACTCCTCAACTTGTGATTCACCAGCCTCGGCCTCCCAAAGTGCTGGGATTACTGGTGTGAACCACCACAGCTGGCCTACCTATGTTAGTCTAGTTAGCAGTCTATCAATCCTACTTATTCTTCAGAGACCCAACTTTTGGTTTCATAAATTATTTGGGTAGATTTTGGGGTCTCAATTTCATTCACTTCTGGTGTGATTTTAGTTATTTTTTTTCTTCAGCTACCTTAGGAGTTAGTTTGTTCTTGTTTTTTATTTCCTGTAGGTGCGATGTTTGATTGTTAATTTGAGGTATTTCTAACTTTTTTGTGGTAGGCATTTAGCACTGTAAATTTCCCTCTTAATACTGCTTTTGCTGCATCCCAGAGATTTTTAGTATATTGTATCTGTGTTTTCATTTATTTCAAATAATTTTTTTTAATTTCTGCCTTAGTTTTGTTATTTACCCAAAAGTCATTGAGTAGCAAGGTGTTTAATTTCCATGTAATTTTGTAGTTTTGAGAGATCTTCCTGTTATTGATTTCTGTTTTTATTCCCCTTTGGTTCAAGAGTATGTTTGGTATGATTTTGATTTTTTGAACAATTTGTTAAAACTGCTATATGGCTGAACATGTGGTCAACCTTGGTGTATGATCTATGTGCAGGTGAGAATAATGTATATTCTGTGGTTGATGTGTAGAGTGTTCTGTACATATATATTAGGTCCAACTGGCCAATTGTTAAATTTAAACTGAGAATTTGTTAGTTCCTTGCCTAATGCTGTCAGCGGAGTGTTCAAGTCCCCCACTGTTATTGTGTGGCTATCTACATCTTTCCATAGGTCTAGAAGTACTTGTTTTATGAATCTGGGTGTTCCAATGTTAGGTGAGTATATATTTAGGATAGTTAAGTCTTCTTGTTGTGTCAAACACTTTATTATGTAATGCCCTTCTTTGTCCTTTTTTTTTTTTTTTTACTGTTATTGGTTTAAAATCTGATTTGTTTCATATAAGAATAGCTACCCTGCCTTTTTTTGTGTGTTCTGTTCTTATGATGCTTCTTTTTCCAATCCTTTACTTTGACAGTATAGGTGCTGCTACTGTGAGGTGGTTGTCTTGAAGAGAGCAGATACATGGATCTTCTGTGTGCTTTTTTTAAATTCAGCTTACCACTCTATGACTTTCAAGGGGGGCATTTAGCCTACATTCAAGATTAATATTGATACGTGAGGTTGATCCTGTCGTGAGTTTTTAGTTGGTTGCTTTGTAGTTTCAATTGTGTGTTTGCTTTATAGGGGCTGTGGGCTAGGTACTTAAGTGTATTTTTGTGGTAGCAGGTATTGTACTTTTGTTTCTCTATTTAGAACTCCCTTATGTATTACTTGTAAGAATAATCTAGTGATTATAAATTGCCTTACTTCTTGCTTTTCTGAAAAAGATTTTATTTCTCCTTTGCTTAAGAAGCTTAGTTTGGGAGGATATGAAATTCTTGGCTGGAATTTCATTAATTCCTTCTTTCTTTCTTTTTTCTTTTTTTTTCAAAGAATGCTGAAAATAGGCCTCCAAACTCTCCTGGTTTGTAAGGCTTCTGCTGAGAACTCTCACTGTTAGCCTGATAGTGTTCCCTTTGTACATAATTTGACCTTTTTCTCTAACTACTTTTAAGATTTTTTCTTTAGCATTCACCGTGAACAGACTGGTGACTACATGCCTTGGTGTTGTTCGTTTTGTATAGTATCTCACAGATGTTCTCTGGATTTCTTGTATCTTGCTGTCTACTGTGTAGCAAGATTAGGAAAAATTCTCTTGAAGTATTCCCTTATGTATGTTTTCTAGGTTGTTCATCTTTTCTCTATCTCTTTCAGGAATGCCAGGAATTCATAGATTTGGTTGCTTTACATCATCCCATATTTCTTGAAGACTTTGTTCATTGTTTTTAAAACTTTTTTTTTCTTTATTTTGGTTTAACTGGCTTACTCCAAAAGACCAGTCTGCAAGCTCTGAAATTCTTACTTTGGCTTGGTTCAGTCTATTGATAAAGCTTTCCATTGTATTTTGAAATTCCTTTAAGTGAGTTTTTCAATTCCAGAAGATCTGATTAATTTTTCTTTAATATGCTTATCTCTTCTTTCCTTTCCTGAATTGCATTAGAAATTCCTTTGTGTTGCTTTTCAACCTTGTCTTGGATCTTGTTGAGCTTCCTTGTAATCCATGCTTTGAATTCCTTGTGTCATTTCTGAGTTTTCATTTTGGTTAGGGATGTGGCTGAAGAGCTATTGTGATCCTTTGGTGTTGCTACATTCAGATATTTCATGGTGCCTTAATTTTTGCACTGGTTCCTTGTCATCTGGAGACTAGGACTTCTAATTTTTGTAATTATATTCCTGTGGGTAGATTTTTTTTCTTTTTCTTTATTTCTCTGTAATATTATTATTATTTTTTTATTTCCCTTTCCCTTTACCCATCCCTGGTTATGTGATTGTAGACAATGTTGGGTAGGTTGTTTTGGTTTTACTTCTATAGCCTTATGCGCTTCTGTCAGCAGTTGAATATTGGGCTCTGTGGTTGGACCTACCAGCCAGTAGATGGTGCTTATAGTTAAGAGCTAGCTGCGACCAACACAGCTCGGTATACACCTGATCCTTGTTTAATGGCAGAAGCCCTCTGTTGCCTCAGGCAATGGCCTGATTTGTGGAGTGCACAATGGCCTGAACACCCTACTCATCCCTGGAGGGGTGGGGGCCCTGATAAACAAGGCTAGACCAGGCAGGTCCAGTTTCTGTTCTCCTGATGTCAGGCACAGACATCAGTGTCAAAGGAGAATCCACTGGGCAGCCACCAAGTGCCCAGAGGTGTGCCTAGGTGTGTGGAACTAGGAAATCTCCTCAGCCCTGAGTTCTCTGCACAGGTAGGAGGGAAGCCTAAACTCCTAATCCAGGAGAGTGGGTGCTCCAGATGTCTGGAGATCTGTGCAGGCATGTAGTGGAGAGGAGCCCCCTGCACCAAGATCTCCTCACAGGAATGGTGGGGCAACTCAGGCTGCTGAACCAGGCAAGCAGGTGGTCTGAATTCCTGGAGATTTGCCTGGACATGAAGCAGAGATGGCACCCATGCATACAGATCTCTGCACAGGAAGGGTGGGGCAGCTCAGGTTGCCAATCTGCTCAAGTATATGCTTTTAATATCTGGAGATATGCCTAAGTATGGAGTAGAGAGGGTCCTATTGCACCACAATCTATGCCCATAAAGGGTGGGACAGTTCAGGCTGCTTATCCAGGTGAGTGGTTGCTCAGAATGTCTGGAGATCTGCCTGGGTGGGCAGCAGAGAGGACCCTACTGCATCATGATCTATTGCCAGGAAGAATGAAATGGCTCAGGCTGCTGAACCAAGTGAGCAGGTGCTCAAATGCCTGGAGATCTCACTGGGTATAAAACACAGAGGAGCTCCTTACACCAGGATCTCTGCACAGGAAATGTGGGGCAGGTCAGGCTGCTAATCCAGATGAGTAGCTGCTTCAAATGCCTGGAAATCTGAGAGGGCCCTGCTGCACCACAGTCTATGTCCATGAAGTGTGAGGAGGCTTAAGCTGCTGGTCCAGGCAAGCAGGTGTTCCAAATGCCTAGACTTCTGCCTTGTGATGGAAAAGAAAGAGGCCTGCTGCACCATGATCTCAGGGTAGCAGCTGGGGCACTGAAAAATGACAGTTCCAGGTTGACAAACTGCTCCTGGCTGCAAGTCTTATTGTTCAGGAGAAACTGCAGCTGTCATATATCTCCTCTTGTCCCACAGTGGGGAGCACAATTCCAGCACCTGCTGCTGAGACACTTTCTATTGTTCTAGTTGTGGAGGTCTGTACCCTGGTCCACAGCAGGTACTTCTATCTCTGCCCCAAGACTAAAATGCCCAAGTGGCCACATTGCGGAGTCACCACAAAATGGCTGACTTTGTGTGCACCCAGGTTATAATGACATCCTGCTCTCGGTCTCAGGTCTGGGAAAATGTCTGCAGCTTTTCCCAGTGTTTATTCCTCACAGCACCTCCAAGCCTCTCCCCAAGTTAGCTCCATGGCTTGAGTGAAACAAAGGGCTCTCCCTCTCCCTGGGTTACTTAGATCCTCAGTGGAAAGTTGAGTCACAGAAGGAGGCTGTCTGCCTTTCTCGTGTGCTAGGGTTTCACTCACTTTTAACAGCTGGATGCTGTCACAGGGGCTTTTTGCTCATGTTCTCCTTCCCAGGATTTAGGGTGTCCTTCATTATTCTGGTGGATTCCCATTGTCTTTCTTGAATCAAACCTCACAGAGTTAATATTTATGCACTGTTCCTATTTCAAAGCAGCTGAAGCATGCTAAAAGCCTCTAATCCACCATCTTGGAAAAATAAAATATCTTAATTTCCATCATTATTTTTGATATTTTCTTTGATTCATGAAATTTTAGGTGTAATTCTTACAATTTCCAAGTATGTAAAATTTCCTACTTAAAACTTATTGGTTTCTGATTTAATTTCATTGTGTTCAAATACTGGCCACTTGAAACTCTTCTGCTATTTAAACGGCTATAATTTTTACATTTTATTATTTTCCCTTAGCTAGTTAAGAGCAGTATGTCTATTATTCCTTTTTCATATTTTTCCAACCAAAGTCTCTGTGAGAAATTCTGTGAAATTTCTTCAAGTCTATTTTTTAGGCCACAGCTTATTATTCATTGATGTTTCTTTCTCATTTTAATTTATATTTTTCAATCCTAGAAGTTTATTTTTTGTTTTCTAAATATTT
The DNA here is from genome assembly GCF_000001405.40 of Homo sapiens. Taxonomy (NCBI): domain Eukaryota; kingdom Metazoa; phylum Chordata; class Mammalia; order Primates; family Hominidae; genus Homo; species Homo sapiens. Next base: position 89,245,231 of record NC_000007.14, on the reverse strand, counting down.
CTGAGTTTTTATTTACTTGCTTGTATTTTCAAGCTTCTCATTTATTAAAATCTCCTAGTCATAGTTATGTTTGTAATTTTGGTTGTAATATTTTCAGTATGTTAACATCTTTGTGGGTACGATTTTGATGTTTGTATTAATCTCTTATTAATCACACCTTATTCCTGTTGCACTTTGTGAATTTTGTCCATGAGATTTTTATTTTTCTTAGAACTTTAACTTGAGTATTATGTGATGTCATAGTTTAATTTGTCATTCCTCTAGGAAACATTTGCCTCTTGCCAGTGTAAGTTGCCTGACACAATTTTAAAATAAGTAAATTTGAGATTGTTCACATCATAAAGATTGTGAATTATACTAAAACTCTGCTGAGAACTTAATTCTCAGATTGATTGTTTTTTCACATTCCCTTAGCACTATGGATGATGGACAAGGTTCTTTGTAATGTTTTGATCCATACTTTGTCACACCTTAGTTTTGCACCATCTCCTTTGAAGCTGAGGATGTAAACCTTATGTCCGGGGTTTATCTTCTTAGACTCTATAGCTTGGGCATTCCCCAGTATTTATCTTTTGTCTCCAGGTGCTATGAAGCTGTTTTTTAAAAGATGAAGTTTTCTAGGATAATACAAAATTCTTTAAGTGATAGCCATCTTCAATCCTCACTTTTCACTCAGAGTTACAGCTTTTTTATTATTTTCGATTTTGCATACCTTTTATTTTTGTGCAATTTCAGCAATGGATTTTTACTTTATTCAGTGTTATCTTTAGAGGGTTATCTAGCAAAACATATCTGAAAAGGAAGTGTTTATGTGATTTTTCAAATATACTAATATTTTAAAACTCGTAATATTAAAGTATACAATGTTTGCAAAGCATGAGGCAAAGTGCTTCACATGTAGTAAGTTTTGAAACATTTCATCTATATATAATCATCATAATTCAGAAGTGGTTCACATTGAATTCTTTGTCATAAGCTGTATAGCAAATTCTGAGAGATAAACAAACATTACTCCAGATTTCCCAACTGTTGAATACCACAATTTTACAATGTTGAAAACAGCATTATAAATGTGCAGACTTGGTGTTAGATTTACATTATCTACATAATTAAAAGTTTCATTAAATAATATTGTCAGTTCTGATTTTTCTCCTCTAAACCACATTATACAAAAATGAAAATGAAGGAATTTTAAAGGGGTAGTAAAATAGAAGCTGTAATCCTTTTTCCTCTCATGTTATTATATAATGGATGTGTTAAAGCTAGTTAAAATGCAAACACTTTCCAATTTACATCTTATGTATTTGGAAATATAAAAGCTGCTCTGACATTTTATACTGAATAAATTTGCTTTTGAAGCATTGATCCTTGGTTTACATTTATAGTGTTTATTTACCACATGAACTTTTGACTCCTAAGTAAATACATATTGTATGTTCAAAAGTGATAAGAAATTGAAGTTAATAAAAAAAAACAAAACAAAACAAAATATGACTTTCCCCCTTCTTTATCTTAACACAATAGATAAGACTGCTTTCCAAACTTCGCTGGAAAATATTTCAGAAATAGTCCTTTGTTTATGTTTCCTTAAATAATCATATTACTAGGTTAATCAGTATTTTAAAAATGTACACAACATTCTTTCCTACTAGGTAGGGTTACCAGATAAAGGAGGCCCAGTCACATATGAATTTCAGATGAATAATGATTATTTTTGAGTATAAGTATATCCCATGCAATATTTTGAACACTCAATATTAAAAACTATTTGGTTCTTCTCAACTCAAATACAGCTGAGAATGGTGCATTCTGGTCTGATAAAAATAGCAACACTACAAATATGCCAAAATACTATAATTTTATAATATGTATACCTAGAGAGAAGCCCCATTATTTCTTTCTATTTTATCTGAAGTGCCAGTAAATTATATCCTCGTGTTTTCTTAACTCTTCAGCTTGCCCCAAATGACTAATTTTCTTATTTGTAACTGCCTGATTTCATTTATGTTTTAGTTACATATTTATGTTTACTCATAAAGGCCATTTTTTTGCAGTATCAAGAGTAATGATAGGACTTCTTTTAATTAACAAATAATTTTATAGAAGACCAAGTGATTATATAAGAAGATTAATGTTAAGTAGGGAAAATACTATCAGATTGTATTTTGTAAAATCTTCCAATGCCAGCAGATAGGATTCTCAGGCATTCTTGTCAGCATCCATTAAAAAGAAAACAAGAATCTACTCCTATGTAACATTGTGATAGCCAACTCTTCCAACATATATGAAAATTTTGATTTTTGGAAGACTAGTTTTCCTCCTACAGCACTGCTATACTATATAGTGATTTAATTGGTAAGTAAAACACATTATTCAACCTTTTATTAAACTAATATGCTTTGTATTCCAACATTTAGAAGATCAATACATTATAAATTAGGTGATAAATTATGACAAATATAACAAAATGAAATAAATGTAATTTTATATTACATATGCTTTGGAAAAAGTATGCATTTTGATATCTAGTTTCTTTGCTTTTACTTAAGCAGAAATTGAGTCAAATCCTAATACTGTATTATTTTAAGTTATCTTTTTTTTTCAATGTATAATATGACCTAAAGGCTTCTTTGTGTCTAAAGTAAAAAATATTCACAGATCAACCATTAGCAAGTTAAATGTTGTCCACACATTAGAAACAGGAGAATATGGTTAATTACATGATAACATAAAAGTAGGGGTGGTAAATGAGAAATAGTCAGCTGTGTCTATTTGAGGCAGTGGAATAATACATATTCCATAACTATTTATTAGGTTGGTACAAAAGTAATTACAATTTTTGCAATTAAAAGTAATTTTAATATATAGGGGAAAAAAGCAAGGTAAAAAAGCAAAATCAATTGAGATGTACCAATTTATTCAATTAAAATTTAGATTCAATTAAAGCCACTTTAAGGCCTAACAATAGCTTACTTCTTTCCAACAGTATTTATAAATTTAATCCATTCATCTAACAGTTGAGTGTCAGTATGCATAAACATTGTTCTAGGTGTTGAGTTGCAATAATAAATAACCCAGCCTCATCAATTAAGGATCTTGCTAATGAGATAAATAAGTTAACAGTTCAGGAGATTATGCACTTTGATTGAAATAAATATTAAAAGCTATGGCAACTTAGAGTAAAAGTAACTAAAAGCTTTGGAGGATGAGGTCAAGCTTTGTAGAAGACCTGTAAATTAAGTTTTACAGGATAAGTAGGAAAAGCCTGGAGAAGAGAAGTTGGTGGAAAGTGTGAAAGATCATAGCATATTGTTCCTTTAAGAGAAAAAAAAAAAAAAGAAAAAGGTAGACTCTTCCAATAACCATTCATTGAACATTACCCTGTAGTGTTTGTAGTGATTAAAATAGGACTGCAGAAAAAAAAAAAAAGACTATTCTCACTGCGTGAAAATGTGTGACTAGCAATGGAGTTGCAGGCATAAAAGAAAAATGTGTGAACTCTTCATATGCAACCCTCAGATTTATCACATTGGTGACCACTGGCATGGCTCTGTCCATGCAGTAAAAAATAGCTCATTCTATTGAGATATAGAGGGAGCAAAATTATATTTGGGAGAAAGTACTCAGAGGTTAAAGACAGCATTTATTTTAACTAGGTACAATAGTATTAGAGTACCTATTATGAATCAGGTTCTGCACATTTATTTAATTCTGCCAAAACTCAAGTGTTGTCACTACTTCATAAATCAGAGAGCTATAGCTTCAAGGAAATTAGTGAGACAGACTCTGAAACAAAGATTTGAGGGTAAATAGTGTATTTCAGGGGGCCAGGAAACACTGGCAGGGAGTAGAGGTAGTGGTTCAGAGAAGGAAAAAAGCACCAACAAAGGTTGTTATGAAATCAGCTACCTGGAGTGAATAATTGAAGCTTCATCTCATGGAAAAGTACTGGAACTTGGGATAAAACCTATGCTTCAGAATTCTCCTGTTTATAAAGGGAATGGAATGTTTATATTCAGTAGGGTTATTTGTTAGGGATTTGGGGGAGTAAAGTTGTATTAAGTCCAGCCTCATATCTCTTCTACGTAAGAGCAGAATGGCCTTCAGTGGTTTTAGGAAGTAAAACAACAGTAAAAACAAAAACGAATGCCTCAGACACAGAGACAGAGATGTAGGTACTGACAGTTGGGAGAAAGTTAGAGGACACTTGAAAGGCTTGAGTAATACAGACACGGCAGTGCCAGCATCTGCTACAGACACTGTAGAGTTTGGAATAGCAATTAAAAGTTAAACAAAGAATAAAGCATGGCTAGAAATGGACTAAAGTGGGGTGAGCCTATTGTGTCTTTTAAACAATAAACCAAGCATACTTTGGAATAATGAAGGCCTATCTTCTGAAAACCAGTGGGTAAAGCAATTATAAAATAGAATGAAATAGGAAAATTTTAAGTACTCAGCAAGAAATTATGCTCTGCTCCCATGGGTTGAAACTATGGTCTAGTATTTATACTCAGTGTAGAGAGCCAAGGAAGATGAAGATAAAAGTGGAAAAAAATGCAAGGTAAAGAAGAAAAATCAATTGAGATGCACTAAATATAAAATGAAGAATATAAGCAGAAAATATAGGAACTATGTCGATTATAAATCAAGCAAGAGGTCAAGTAAGGAGGGAATTCATTTCTAAATCATAAATAGTAGAGGTTATTTAGGGAGAGGTGAGATACATTGACAACTATGTAATGATTTTTCACTTAGAATATATAAGAATTATGTTAGCAGTACAAAACGCTCATTTTACAGAAAAAAAAGAGAAAGAGAGAAAAAAAAACTTTCACCTCAGCATGGGATTTACATGAACAAACCCACGCAAAGCTCACATAACCAAAAGGGAATCTGATAGACATAGCCTTTCTATTGCAGTATCAGACCTAACCCACAAGAGTTTGAGGAAGCTAAAGTACTTATTCAAGCTAGAAATACAGGCTAGGTTCTGTTACTACTGACTAGCAAAATGACTTTGAAAATTATTAAATATCTGTAGAACTCAGTTTCCTACTTATAAAATGACAATTTGAATATGATTATTTGTAAGTTATTGTCTGAAAAATAAATCATGCTTCTCTTTTAAAAATACTAGTAGTAACTAGAAATCAAGACATTTTATTCAAAATATTTACAATTAATTAATTATTATTTTATCCTAATTTAATGTGCAATACATAACTCACAAGAATAGAGAATTTATTTTAATTGAGAAGTTAGATACCATTAATGACATAAGAATGTATTTGCCCAATATTAAACACTCAGTTGAATTATAAGAGACCATATATAATACAGTTATTTCAATGAAACACTAGATTTTTCAATGAAAGTTTCAAAACTAATGTAATAAAAATGTCAATCTATTAAATTTTATATATATATATAAAGAAAAATGACATAATATAGACAGAAAGTCCACATTGTTAAAAGTGAGTAAAATTATAGGCGAAACTTCTATTCCCCACTCAATGTATCTGTAGATATAAATAAACTAATCTACATATGGGAACCCTCATAGATAAATGGGTCTATCGATGTGACCAAACACAGAATCAGTCATTCAAAAACAGCTGATTTATCCAAATATTTTTAAGTAGCTTAATTTTATATTCAATTGATAAGTTCCTTACATGTTCAGAAGCACAGTAAACTGGCCAGTGATATACATTTAAGGTATTCTAAATAGCTGGATTTAGAAAAGTTGAAGGGCTGTGCTGTTCTGAGGACATATGAAGGGCTGAAAACCCATGAGAAAAAGCTGAAGAAAAAGCAGGAATGAAGATTTAAGAGCGACTTGAACTCTGGGGTATCAGGCCCTCTCTCAAGGCATATTGCCAATTCAAAGAGAGGGAGAAGAGTTCAGAAATGATGTTGTGGTTGCCATCTCATTTCCTGATTGGCAGTTCTGCATATGTGTGTGCCCTCTGCTGACCCACACACCTGTCCCATTCAGTTTGGGCATCCTCAGATTTGACAGACTCTGTCCTGCACAAACCAGTCCCTTATCATGCCTACAGTTTCAACTAAATTTTTGTACTCACTCTTATAAGATTCCAGGCCTCTAGGGCTCCCTGAACTAGCATTACATTTAGACCCAAGTGAACCCAAATGACAATAGCTATTTTTAAAAACATAAAACTCCTTGTTGTAGAGAAGTGATTAGATTTATGGTGTGTGGCACCAGAAGACAAAATCATAGATATTAAGAGTAGATATTACAAGAAGGTAGACTTGAAGCTCAATGGAAAAGATATTTTCCAACAACTGAAGCTTTAATAATTGAGGATCCTCCTGCAATAGTCTGGAAAGTCAGGTCTGCCACCTTGACCTAGCCTCAACAACACCCAGGGCATCTTCATTTCCCTAACAGCCCTAACTCCACTGGGTCTAATTTCTAACCTTTGATCAACATCACTAGTTCCTTAATGTGTGCTTCTGGCCTTCTGAGAACCACTGGAATAAGGCAGACATTGTATTAACTACTCAACACAAATCTAAACCAGCATGATACGTACAAGCTTTATTTGCCCCTTGGCAATATTTCTGTTCAGTTTATAGAGATTCTCTAGTTGAGTGGTTTTTGGGATTTTTTAACTGCACCCCACAGAAAATATCCTTTTTATTTCATGACCCAGGATACACATACATATAAATTTAACTGCAACAAAATTTCACAAAACAAATTTGCTCTTACAAAATGCAGTGGGATGTAATATTGTCTGTTTCAGCCTATTTTATTTTTGAACATTACTAGTTGCAACCCACTAAAATGATTCAATGACTCCATAATGAGTCATGACCCACTCACAGATCACAACCCTTAGTTTAGAAAACTAGTAGTTTCATGAATTTAGGGATGATGTTCATCAGATGTAGTTTCATAAATTTAGGGATTATGTTCATCAGATGATTCATAAAATCAACATCAGACATCAGTTTTCTCATCTTCCTCTCTCCATTTCAAAATATACATTTCTATAAACATTCCCTCATTAATGCCCTTGTTCTCAGAGTTCTGCCCCTCCTCCTTTCCATGTCTGCTTTACTTGTGCTTTGATCTAATTCCACTTTGCCTACTGAAAACCCCTTGCTCTATTATCCTCCCTCTCCTTACCTGCATTCATTCGTGCATTTTGAATCTTTTTTGCCTTACTTGATTCTTCCCATCTGCAGACAGATATGCTCAGATCTCTAGTATTTGTGAGAGGGGCAATTATTTTCTTAACTTGTCATTTGTCAATTAACAGTTTCTTCTTTGTGAAACTTGGTAAATGGTTTTAAACTCTTTATTCTTATTAGAGTACTTTTGTGTTTATTATCTCTCTGTCTGGATTGTGAGTATCTGGAATAAAGCAATTGTATATGACAGATCTTTGGTGTGTAATTTTCCCATAGCATATAGAGAAGTGCTGGCAGCAATCACCTTGCACCGAATAGTTGGAATAGTTATAAAACTTCATGACAGGCAGTTCCTATGGTCCAGTTTCTCTGGAGCACACCCAGCTGTGAACCTAAGATTGACAGTTCTGACTCAGGCTTGGAAGCCATTGACTACCCCACTACAGCTTCTCTGAACTGTACTTATTCCTGCACCTTCTGCCTAGAGCTAACATACTACACAAATGAATTTGTTTAGAAAATCAAGATAAGAAAAATAAAGTTATATTTGTTTAGGAACTTATGAAGTACTTTAACATGCTTCATCTGAACTCATCATCATCATCACATCAACATTTTCAAGTGGATGGGACAGATCTATGAGCCTCAGATAGATCACACCTAAGGAAACTGAAGGTATTCAGTAAGGATGAATGATGTGACAGAAACCAGAAAACTAAAAAGTGATTGGACTAGGGCTCAAATCTAAGTCTTCTAACTGAAAACATGGCCTTTTCACTGTATCAGGCTATTTCCACAGTAATGAGTCAACCATATTTTCTTCTAATCAGCTAACTATATACACATATTTTGAAAATTACAAGGCCTGAAAAAACATCAAGCTATAAATGTTATTGTTATTCATGTTTACATTATACCTTATATTTTTAGAACTTCTAAGTTTCTTCACAATTTTTTTTTCTTCTGGGTGAGATATGTGTTATTATCGTAATTTTCACATGAATATTAAAACTAAGAAACACAATGTGACATTACTAAATTCTAAGTGTTTATTAATGGTGGAGTCATAGCTTTAGACTTTGGGTTGCTATTCTGCCTACTTTTCCATACTACCTTCATGTCATTAGCAATGTATTAATCTTTCCTAATGTTTCACATGTAAAATCTGAAAAATAAATTTAAACTTTAAAATTATATTAATTAGAAAACAATAGTCTAACCCCAAAAACAAGACTTCCAGATTCTAAAATTACTTGTCAGAATATTTTTATGGAATTGCAAAAAGAATACAGCGAGATGAGCCATGTTCATTTCCTTATATAAAAGCACCATCTATTAAATCTAAGAGAATGATTTCATAAAACTTAAATTATGTATGCTAATCTCAATTTATTCTCTCAAACATAAACATAATTTTAAATCTCACTATGGTTTGGGATTCTGAACTCTTTGTATTTTACCATGAATTTAATATGACTAATGTGAATTTCTAATTACACTAAATGACCAGGTGAATGTCACATGTGCATCAGATAAATTGGAAAGTTCTAATTTTAATTGCCTTGAGAATTATTTCTTTTCTCTATATATGTATGAATGGAACTTTGCTGTCCATTAATGATTTTCATATTGATCTTATTTTCTCTTATTTTAATCACCATGGGGAATTTTGTAATTTTCATAACAGTTGGCTCAATATGTTAGATTTACATGTATACTTATCTTACATGCTCTCCTCTTCTCACCTCACCGCTCTAGGAATCATTACATATGCTCAAGAGTCTACTGGTTTCCAAATGAAATCTGGATATCTAGTTACCGTGCATATGGAAGCTTCCTAAAGACTAGAGACATGTCTTACTTCAGTTTTCTCCTCAAATCACATTAGGCAGATCTTTGCAAATGGTAGGAGCTAAATAAATGTTGATTGAATTTAATCAAATATGGAGGCCAAGTAATGATAAAAATTTACCTGCTGAGGTCATTGACAAATATTATTACACCTACTAAGCATTATAACTTGATGTGTATTTGAGAAGCTACAAAAATTTGGGAGCCAACTTTGAAAACAGATATATGGTTTCCCCCACAAAACATACATAAAGAATGTGGTTTTGATACAAAATTTGTTTAAAATTTTCTTTTTATCTTATTTTAATGTTAATAGACTTTATTCTTTTGATACACATTTATTTACTACCTATTTCTAAATATTTGTTCTGAGTACAAAGACATTGTGGGAAGCATTCAAATAAGAGTATTTCATTTCAGTTTAGTCAATTGTTACATTCCTCAGAAAAAAAAAAAATTGGGGCCTAAATTAATATGGTCATCAGGTTTTGCCCACAGAAGGCAAATATATTTCAGCCTCAAACAGTTTTTTAAAAAACTGTCCTAAAGAATAGGTGACCATCACTGCTATTATTATAGCCAATTAAGTTCTTTTTTTCAAATATATATCTGGATCCAGGATGTTTTTGCAAAGGGCAGCTTTTATACTGCTCAAATTTAACACACATTAGTTATTCAAAATTGAATCTCAAATGTATTCCAGTTTCCTTAATTGTGTTTGAAACATATGGAATTATTTTAAGTGGAGGGTAACTCAGATTTTTGATATGGATTTAGTCCATGTGTACCACCATGGACCATTGTGTCCCACCATTACTTCGTGTGAAGTTCTCTTTTCGTTTACTTCCATTTAGCTTTTGACTTTATGGAGAAGACTTGACAATAATTTAATATGTGAAAGTGCAATATACACCTGCATCTGCTAATACCTAATGGTTTTATAAGGTTCTTTAAGATTCAGATATTTCTATATTTCTCTGGAAAAAATAAACAGAAATTTCTAGTTGAGTGAGGAAAGGTTTGATTATATTTTTACTTTTTTGTTTTGTCATTTTATGATATTGGATAAACTGGAAAACTGATGCTCTCATAGAGAATAAAAAGATAAGGAGACAATTACATGCAGATTAAAAATAAAAATAAAAAATATATTTTTACTATAGAAGTATTTATTGGATTAAGCACTGCATTGAGAGAGTTTATGATGGTGTAATAGTCCAAATTCTCCAGAGAGAGAGAACCAATAAGAAATAAGAGAGAGGGTTTATTAGGGAAATGAACTCACAGAGTCAGGGAAATTTCATGAGAGGCCATCTGCAAGGTGGAGAACCAGAGAAGCCAGTGGCATGGATCAGTCCTAGTCTGAAAGCTTTAGAATCAGGAAAGACAACAGTGCATCTCCCAGTCTGAGGCTGAACACCCGAGAGACCCCAGGAGGCTGCTAATTCAAGTCACATAATTCAAGAGCCAAAGAACCTGGAGTCTGATGTCCAAGGAAAGGAGGAGAAAGGTGTTTCCTTATGGAATGGGGAGAGAGAAATGGGAGTGGGGAGAGACGAGGAAACAGAAAGAGAAACAGACAGAAACCCCTCGCTTTCATCTGCTTGTTTCTATTGGTCCTGTATGACACACCAATTTCCTCTGGAAATGCCCTCACTGACATACCCAAAAACAATGCTTCACCAGCCATCTTGGCATCCCTCTAGCCAGTCATACTGACACTTAATATTAACCATCACAGGTGGTATTTAATTTCATGGAAATCTTATATAGTAGGTATCATTTACTATTCAAAGAGGTTAAGTAGATTATACCTAAAGTTAGAATCTAGTTTGATATTAAGAGTGGGTAAAGACTCTGGGTATGGAGTAGTAGTCAATTTAATACACTTCCTCCCATTTAGCTAGCTATTATGAAAGAAAAGGGGGTTGACCACAATAAAAAAAAAAAGAAAAGGGAATATCACAGAAGTATAATTCAAAAGAAACAGATCATTTAACATATATACACCTCAACAATTAATTGCCATATCTTTAATACCTCTACTTAAAAACAAGCTCATTATATTAGCTAGGCTTATCTTGGATTATAAGTCAAAAAATTATATTGAGTTAAAACTCCTAATGATTACTTACTTACATGGCTTTTTGGCTAAGTTGAAGAATTAGCTCCCTTTTGCAAACAGGTATGACATTATGTCTAAAATTAATAGATTCACACTCCATTGTGGAAAATGCTAAGGCTTTTACTCTATGCACTGGAGTAGACACAAAACTACTTCTTAAGAAAAAACTGGCAGGGAGCAATGGCCACACATGTGATCCCAGCACTTTGGGAGGCCGAGGCAGGCGGATCACCTGAAGTCAGCCTGACCAACATGGAGAAACCCTGTCTCTACTAAAAATACAAAATTAGCTGGGCATGGTGGCATGTGCCTGTAATCCCAGCTACTCAGGAGGCTGAGGCAGGAGAATCACTTGAACCCAGGAGGCAGAGGGTGCAGTGAGCCAAGATCACACCATTGCACTCCGGCCTGGGCAACAAGAGTGAAAGTCCATCTCAAAAAAAAAAAGAGAAGAAAAAAAGTTAGCTCTCTTTTTCAGTGTTCCTCCAGCCTACCCCTCAAACTGAAGCCCACCCCCACATTGAGGTAGGCTTATTTGGCCTTCATTTATTTCATAATATGGCCAAACCATGTAAGTACACCTTTAAAATGCAAACAAAATGGCTATAATCAATACTTCTCAAGAAAATATCAAATTCATGATTGTAAAATATTTATCAAAAGAGGATTTCATAAAAAATACATTATATATTTATTTTTCTGTTCAGAGTTACTTTCTAAGTCAGACAACCACATGTCTGTGTGCTCTGGCACAATTTTATTGGTTCCCCATAGAATTACTTTAAGAAACTCATTATTATATTAACAGTTACTCTAAGGGTTCAGGTTTGGTTAAAAGCAAATAAACCTTTAAAAAAGAATAAATTGGCCAGGCACGGTGGCTCACGCCTGTAATCCCAGCACTCTGGGAGGCCGAGGCGGATGGATCACGAGGTCAGGAGATGGAGACCATCCTGGCTAACACGGGGAAACCCCGTCTCTACTAAAAATACAAAAAAAAAAATTAGCCAGGCGTGGTGGCGGGCGCCTGTAGTCCCAGCTACTCGGGAGGCTGAGGCAGGAAAATGGCGTGAACCCGGGAGGCGGAGCTTGCAGTGAGTGGAGATCGCGCCACTGCACTCCAGCCTGGGCGACAGAGCGAGACTCCATCTCAAAAATAAATTAATAAAAATAAATAAATTACACACAAAATAAGGAGAAAGTATATTATACATATCAAAAGAGAAATCAGAAATCAATGGCAAGTAGATTTTTAAAAAGAAAATAAATGAAAACAGATTTTGTTTGTAAAGATTACTAATGTTCATAAACCTTTAGCTAGACTTACTGAGAAAAATAGAGAAGACAGGCGTCACCAAAGCAAATAATGTAGGGGATATTAGATAGGGTATATTAAAAGTATTATGATAAAATATTGCATATAATTTTATGCCAACAAGTTTTTGACAACATACATGAACTGGACAATACCTACACAAAGACAGAAATTGCCAAAATCGAGCCAAGAAGAAATAGAATGATCTCAATAAATTTTCAGTAAGTAAAGAAAAGAGTACCTAAAAGTAGCTTCACTGGTAAATTCTATTAAACATTTAAAGAATGAATAATAACTCTACAGAAACTCAGGAATTGGAAGAGCAAGAAACATTTCCCACTCATTTCTAATTCTAGTATTCGATACCAGAGCCACACACATATCTCAAGAAAGTGAACTATATTTCTCTCAAGAACAGAAACACAAAAATCCTTAACAAATCATCATCAATTTTAAATCCTATAAATTATAAAAAAGATGTTATCCACCATGAGTGAGATTTACTCCAGAAATGCAAGGTTGAATTAATATCCAAAAATTCAATTAATATCTTATACCACATTAACAGAATAAAGAGCAAGCACCACGCATTCATCTCAGTAGATGCAAAAAAAAGCATCTGGCTAAACGGAAGCCCGTTTATAATTTCAAAATAAATAAAACACCCTCTCAATAAACTAGGAGTAAAAAAAATGCTTTCATTCTCATAAAGGGTTTCTATTAAAAACTTATAACTAACATCATACTCAATGTCAAAAGAATTATCTCTACCTACGATTCAGAACACAAAAGTGGCCATTTCTGCATCTTTTATTCAACACCACATTGGAATTCTGTGCAAGAAAGAACATAAGTGCAGGCATATAGCTCAAAAAGAAAGAAGTAAGACTGGCTTTATTTGTAGATGACATGTTCTTATATACATAAAATCCTAAAAGTCTAACAAAAAAGATGCTAGAACTAACAACCAAGTTGAACAAAATTACAGGATCGATATAAAATAGTAATATTAATATAAAAAATCTATTGGATATTCATGTAGTGGCAACAAACAGAAAGTCAAATTAAAATTCCCTTTCAAATAGCATAAAAATCACTAAAATATGTGTCATATTTAACAAGAAAAAATGTGTAAAATAAAAACTACACAAGATTTCTGCAATAAATTAAAGGCAATTTAAGTAAACAGAGACATATATGTATAAATTGGGAGACTCAATATGGTTAAGGATTAAAATTCCATCAAATTAATCTAAATTTAGTGCAATTCCTATCAAAATCCAAATAGGTTTGCTTTAGAAATTGCAAACAGAATCCAAAAGTTATATCAAAATTCAAATGACTTAGAATCGCTATGACAATTGTTAAAAACAAGAGCAAATTTGGAGAACTCATACTATCTAATTTCAAAACTTGCTATAAAGTTACAGCAAATAAGATAGCGTGGTAATGGCATAAGCATAAACATATAAGTCAAAGTAATGAAATAGAGAATCTAGAAATAAACTTATACATTTATGAATAATAATCTTCAAACAGTGCTTCCAAAGTAAATCCATGAGACACAAATAGCATTTTCCTCAAGTTATGTTGGAACAACTGGATATCTATAAGAAAAAAATTGAACTTGGGCCCTTGCCTCACATCATGCACAAAAATTAATACTCAAAATTAGATCATAGACCTATATTAGGAAACTAAAATTATAAAATATTCAGAGAAATATAAAAATACTTTGCAATTCTGGGAGAAAATATTTATACACCTTGTATCTCATAAAGGATTTGCATTCAAAATATATGAAGAACTGTAAAAATTCTTAAACAATAAGGCAAGCAACCAAGTTAGAAAAATTAGCACAATTTGTGAATAGAAACTTCACCAAAGAAGATATGTAAATGTTAAATAAGCAAATGAAAATATGTTGCATATTATTAGTTTTTGGAGGAATCAAAACAAATCACAGTGAGATACCACTACACACATACTATAATGATTGAATAATGTACAGTTAGGAAAAGGCCTGTAGCTTCTTTTAGAAAATCAGATGTATGTGGATGTCCAGGTGTTTCAGCACCATTTGTTCAACAGAATATCTTCTCCATGGAATTACCTTTACTTCTTTGTCAAAGAGCAAGAGTTGACTATATTAGTGCATGTCTATTTCTGGGATTTCTACTCTGCTCTGTTGATCTATTGATCTATTCTCTTGACGATACCATACCGTCTTATTTACTTATTTACATACTTAGTTTTATAGTACTTTTTGAAACTGGATCGTGTTAGCTCACCAACTTTAGTTTTCTCCTTTAATATTCAGATAATCTGTTTTCTTCTTGTATGAGTTTGGATAGATTGTGTCTTTTAAGAAATTAACATTTCATCAAAGTTATCAAATTTGGGGGGACAGAGTCACTTATACTATTTCTTTATTATCCTAACTCGCTCATTCTCTCTCTCTCTCTCTCCCCCTCCCCATGTCTATCTCTCTCCTTAGTTAACCTGATTAAAGATACATTAACTGTATCTTTTTAAGAGAGTCAGCTTTTAGTTTCATTGATTTTCACCATTGGTTCTTATTTTTAGTGTTATTGATTTCTGCTCTAATTTTTATCTCTTCTGTTTACTTTGAATTTAATTTGCTGTTCTTTTTGCAGTTTTTTTGGTAAGATCTTAGATTATCAATTTTTGATATTTCTTTTTTCAATATAACATTCAACACTATAATTTTTTCTAAGCACTCTTTGCCGCATTCCACAAATTTTACTAAGACATATTTTCATTTTCATTTGGCTTGAAATATTTGTACTTTTTTGATATTTATTTAATTCGTGTGTTTTTAATCTCCAAGGGTTTTGTGAGTTTCCAAATATTTATTACAGGTGTCTAGTTTAATTACATTGTGATTTGAGAGCATATTTTGTATGATTTTTTATTTAAAAACTTTTAATGTGTATTTTTTAATCATAATTTAGTCTTTCTTGGTGAATGTTTTACGTGAGTTGGAGACGAATGTATACTCTTATGCTGTTGGATGAAGTATTCTATAGATATAAGTTAGATCCAATTGATTGATGTAACTGTTCAGTTCAACTATGTTCTTACTGATTTTATGCCTGCTAGATGTGTCAGTTACTGACAAACAGGTATTGGTATCTCCAAGTAAAATAGTGGATTCATCTGTTTCTCTTTGCATTTCTATCAGGTTTTGCATCACATATTTTCATGCTCTGTTGTGAGTTGAATACATACACATAAAAGATTATGTCTTCTTGGAGACATAATTCCTTTATCATTATGCAATGTTCCTCTTTATCTCTGAAAATTTTGCTTCTTGCTCAACTCAGCTTTGCCTGAAATTAATGCTGCTCTTCCAGCTAGTATTCACGGTGCATGTTTCTCTATTAGTTTTCTTTTAATCGGTCTTTATATTTGAAGTGGGTTTCTTGTAGACATCTCAGAGTTGAGTCTTTTTTGTGAACTATTGAGAGGTGACAGCGTGCTGGCAGTCCTCACAGCCCTCGCTCACTCTCAGCGCCTCCTCTGCCTGGGCTTCCACTTTGGCGGCACTTGAGGAGCCCTTCAGCCCGCCGCTGCACAGTGAGAGCCCCTTCCTGGGCTGGCCAAGGCCGGAGCTGGGTCCCTCAGCTTGCGGGGAGGTGTGGAGGGAGAGGCGCGGGCGGGAACCGGGTCTGTGCGTGGTGCTTGCGTGCCAGCGCGAGTTCCAGGTGGGCGTGGGCTCCGCGGGCCCCACACTCGGAGCAGCCGGCCGGCCCCGCCGGCACTGGGCAGTGAGGGGCCTAGCACCTGGGCCAGCAGCTGCTGTGCTCAATTTCTCCCCCGGCCTTAGCTGCCTTCCCGCGGGGCAGGGCTCCGGACCTGCAGTCTGCCATGCCTGAGCCTCCCCCTACCTGCTCCGTGCGCCCCTGTGCCGCCGGAGCCTCCCCAACGAGTGCCACCCCCTGCTCCATAGCGCCCAGTCCCATCGACCACCCAAGGGCTGAGGAGTGTGGGCGCATGGTGCAGGACTGGCAGGCAGCTCCACCTGCACCCCGGTGTGGGATCCACTGGGTGAAGCCAGCTGGGCTCCTGAGTCTGGTGGGGACATGAAGAATCTTTATGTCTAGCTCAGGGATTGTAAATACACCAATCAGCACTCTGTAACTAGCTCAAGGTTTGTAAACACACCAATCAGCACCCTGTGTCTAGCTCAGGGTTTGTGAATGCACCAATCGACACTCTGTATCTAGCTACTCTGGTAGGGACTTGGAGAACCTTTGTGTGGACACTCTGTATCTAGCTACTCTGGTGGGGAGGTGGAGAACCTATGTGTCTAGCTCAGGGATTGTAAACACACCAATCAGCGCCCTGCTAAAACAGACCACTCGGCTCTACCAATCAGCAGGATGTGGGTGGGGCCAGATAAGAGAATAAAAGCAGGCTGCCTGAGCCAGCAGTGGCAACCTGCTGGGGTCCCCTTCCACACTGTGGAAGCTTTGTTCTTGCGCTCTTTGCAATAAATCCTGCTGCTGCTCACTCTTTGGGTACACACTGCCTTTATGAGCTGTAACACTCACTGCGAAGGTCTGCAGCTTCACTCCTGAGCCAGAGAGACCACGTACCCACCAGAAGGAAGAAACTCCAAACACATCCGAACATCAGAAGGAACAAACTCCAGACGTGCCACCTTAAGAGCTGTAACACTCACCGCGAGGGTCTGCAGCTTCATTCTTGAAGTCAGTGAGACCAAGAACCCGCCAATTCTGGACACACTATGACAGTCTTTGTCTTTTAATTGTGTATTCAGATTTTGAAAGAAAACAGAGAAATAGATTGTAGAGGAAGATATTATCAAAGAAATAATATTAAAATACCACTTTTCTAAAACAAATGACATATTTTTTTCCCTGTTGAGAGATCTCATGGAATGCCCTGCACAATAACTGGAAAGCCATCCAAAGGCAAGTTGTTCTAGACTGTTAATGTGTTAGGAGTATTTGGAACACTAAATGGCCCTATTTCCCAAACTTTCCATTTGGCATTCCCTCTGTGTGGAACACTCTCTCTCTCTCAGAGAGATGGCTCTATGGGTTGCTCCTTCATATCCTTTAGGCCCTTGTTCATAATTGCTGTTTAATTAAGGTCTTTACTAAAACCCCTAATGAAAATGCTATTTACCCCACTGTATTCTCTGTACACTTCAATCCTTTATTTTTCTCCATAGCATGTAGAACATCTGATATCCTATATATTTTTTCATATTTTATATGTTCACTTTCTTTTTTATACACTCTCTATAATGTTAGCTCCATGAGGATGGAGATGATTGTCTGGTTCACTCCATAATGAATCTCCAGCATTTGGAATGGTGCTGGGCATACAGAAGGCACTAGACCAATTTTTGTTGTAGGAAGAGATGATGAAAAGTTTAAAGGTTTCCTGAAAGGAACAATTAGGATACAAGATGGCATATAGCTTCTCAACAATAAAACTGAAAGTTACAACTCAGTTTGAAAATAAATCAACTGCGAGGGTAGAATAAACACATTTACTGATAGACAAGGATCCCCAAATTTTATCTCATATGTATCCTTTGTTAGGAAGCCCTAGAGGATAGGTTCCACCAAAATCAGGAAATAAAGAAAACATAGCCATGGGATCAAGGAAACAAGAAGTGTAATCCAGGATAGAAGCAAAAGCATTTACAAAATAATGGTGAAAATAAGTCCTAGAACAATAGCTATGCATCTGACCTGATGAACAAATTGTCAGGATTGGAGCAGAAAGACGGAGGCCTTTACTATATATGTGTAAGGGAAGAGGGAGAAAGGACTAATTGATTATCTGACTTATGTGATGTTTTTAATGAAACTTTGTTCTTATATATGGTATATAATTCAGGAA
Source organism: Homo sapiens (assembly GCF_000001405.40). Taxonomy (NCBI): domain Eukaryota; kingdom Metazoa; phylum Chordata; class Mammalia; order Primates; family Hominidae; genus Homo; species Homo sapiens. Next base: position 89,226,872 of record NC_000007.14, on the reverse strand, counting down.
AGAATGAGTAATAGGCAGTGATGCAAAATTGATGAAATATAAGAGTCAAGCAATTTCTAACTCCAGGAAGAAGATATACTCATAAAGTCATCATAGTATGTTATGAAGCTCAGTTGGAAAAATATTTACAAGTCACAATAATGTAAATTCCGAGTATTTATTTAACAACACAATAAAATATAGATCTCTATGGACTTATGAGATATAACATTAAGTGAAAATATATGAAGACTATTATGTATAGCATAACCACATTTTATGTTGTTACATCATAGTTTGTGATTGGATAGTAAACATTTAGAGACTTATCTGAAAAGATGTGAACCAAATTATTATTAAATAATTTTAAATATTTTTCTACACTTCTGTATTTCTTGATTTTTAACATAAATTATCTAATAATAACTTTTAAGAATTACATTTTACATCATCTATTTTTAGTAGACCCAAAACATTAAGTTTAATTCTAGCATATTATTCCAGTTTAAGTCCACCATAATTTAGCCACTCTCTCTTCATTGTATGTTTAGATTGTTTCTAGTATTTTTCTAGTTTAAATATCCTTATACATAAATATTTGAAATTCATCTGATTATTTTCCTAGGATACTTACCAAATGGAACTGTTAGTAAGAAAAATTTAAATTTAAGCCTTTTCATAATAATCAAAAGTGGAACGCTGAAGAATTAAGACAATTTATACTCTCATAAGCAATGTTTTCTCACACCTTGTCAACACCGGGTGGTATGATTCTTTTTTTCACGCTTGACATATTTACCTTTTAAAATCTCTTCAAATTTGTATTAGTTGATTACTAGTTATGCAAAACATGTGTTCACATTTTGTAATCCATTGACAATTTTTAGAATCTATCCCTTTCTCTTCCCTCATTGTCATTGTTATAAAGACTCCTATTGTCTCTCTTGAACTCTTGAACGCTTATCTCATCACAGAGCCAAGCTCTCCTTCTTGTGTACCAACATAAACTGCTTTTAGGATTATTTTTCTAAATCACAAATCTAGTCATATCATTTGCTTGCTTAAAAGTCCTTGAAGATTAGCAATTTTCCACAAAGTCAAGTCTGAACATACTGGGGTGGCACACCTTGTCAACAATAATATGGGATCAAATATTTTCTTAAATTATAAAAATGTCATTTCATGACACCTTTTGTTCAATAATCATAAATAACTTGAGATTAGGCACCCCATATGTTTACCACAGTATTTACTCTGTTCACTTAAGAAATGATTAGTCAATGATAGGTCAATGTATTGACATAGGACAGAGTGAAATGGTCTACTCTAAAAACCAAGTTATTCAGCTACTTTTTCATTTAAAAAAAATCTACTGAATGTTACTATGTGCCAGAAATTGCTCTAAGTTCTAGAGACACAGTGGCTAATAGAACCATGCCCTTCCCTTTATAAGGTTAATAGCTGGGAGTGGAGTATGAGGACAAAATTTAAAAAGTAATTTTTTTTCTTTTTAAAGAATAATAAGCAGTTTTCTGCTGGTCTATCAACTCTTTCAAAAAACCAAACAAAACACAGAAAGCCCTGACTTGTAGTGTTTGTAGATATCCTATTATGGCTGATTTCAATCTACCAATAGTTAAACAACCAGCTCACAAAGTTCTTGAATATTGAACAGCTGGCTCTGGCCATTACAAGGTACACCCCCACTGATAGTGGCAACAGGACATTAGAACTGGAAAATTGGTAACTGACTACTTAAGGTAAAAGGGAAATGTCCTACTGAAGAGGTGACATCTAAGCTGAGACACAAATGAAGAGAACGAGAACACTGAAGGTCAGATAGAAGAATTTTCCAGACAGAGGGAACAGTCAGCTATAGCCAGTGTCATAAGGTAGAAGGAAACTACTTGATATATCTGGAAGTCAGAAGGAGCCAGAATGCAGAATTTTTAATATATTTTTCAGTAAGGAGAACCTTGAGAGCAAAAAGCCTCTTGGCTAAGATACAGACAGTAATTTGGGAGAGTTAAATAGGAGCAGGAAGCTAAGATCACCTTTGGTTCTTTTGTCTTATACTTCTCTGCTAATAAAGGTTGCAACTACTGCTGGGTGATTCCAGGATACACACACACACACACTCATACACACACACACACACACACACACACACACACACACACATACTTTGCCAGAAATATTGGTTTACAGAATGCAAAATGGAACAGGAGAGAGTATTATTTTATGGTACTGAAGGTATTCATTCCAGGCACTCCAGTCTTTATTTCTTCAATGTTGCTGACCCTACCACTCATCTACACTTTGACATTTTGTTAGCACTTTTAGAGGACTAATAACTTAAACATACTATATATCACTTGGGCAGTATTTGGGGAAAATATAAATCAAATTGCAGAAACAAAAAAAGGGAATTAGATTAAATTCTTTTAGCAATTTTGGGGTATTTTCCTCTTAAGGTCAAGATGACAATGGTAGTTCTGTTTTGATATGTTATCCAGAGCAAGTAGAGATGGGGTGAATCCAAAACAGTATTTTAAACAATGAATCCGTTGGAGTTCAAATCCAGGGCTTGACAAGTGAACAGCTCCTTCTGGGTAAAAATAAATCCTATTGTGAAGCAAATGGAGATTAGAAGGATGAAGCGTCACATGTGGAGGGTTTCAAAGTGGATTTGTTTTTTATTATTAAAGATATTTTTTATGGGTTAATTGTACAGGGATCTGGCTCATTTGTTTTTTCAAAATTGAGATGAGTCAGAATGTCCCTGGGGCAGGAGAGAGTTCTGCTGCATGTGAGGATGTGTATTATTCATCCCAGTAATACATTTGCAGCTAACAATCTTGAGAAAGGGATTATGACTTCTAGGTAGTCTCACAAGGAATTAGCTGTTATTGACATGTTACCTATATTAATAGTTACAGTTCTGTCTTTATCTAAGTGATTATAATTTGTATACACATTCAAACTGCATTAGGAATAATACTCAACATTTACACAGAATTTTAAGAAGTTCAAGGCAATAGCTAAGATATTGAGTTGTTTCCAAAAACGTGAGCTATATATAGAGTGGCTTGTCAAAGCTAGAAATTCATTATTTTTCCTCACTGAAGAAATTTAAAAAATCAGGTGTGTTATTGATGAGCTGCCTTTCTCTACAAATAATACTTAAGAAAATATCTTAATTTTTTTTTTGGAGACAGGTCTCACTGTGTTGCCCATAGTGGAGTGCCATGAGGCAAAAATAAATAAATAAATAAATAAATAAATAATCTTAATTTTTATTCAAATTATAGAAAAATATTTTTAAAGCTCCAATGGAATTCATTTAAATATATGTATCACATACTCTTTTACTTTATTTCTTGAAGTTGTGTGTTGACTTACTCGTCTAGAATTACAATATAACCATGAAAATATAATCTTTGTGATAAAATAAACACATGATGCTGACAGACGATAATAACAAATGCTTCAGAAATTACTTATTAAGCGGTGGGATCCTGAGTAATTATACATGAATGAAGGAAAAGCAGAGAAGAGTATTCATAGATTATTTCGTTATCAGATCTAAGATGTTCTATTGATGAGTAATAGAATGGATTTCATGAGCATTTGGATTTACTTCTAAGTGTACCAAAAAGAGCATATTTTTGGAAGGTCAACAGAAGAAGCCAGCTAGTTCATCTGAATCTACATGGAAAGTAAAATTATGGCAACTGTTCACGTTACTCAGGCCAAAAAATAGCCAAATTTCCACCACCACCATTATAATCATTATCATAATCAAGAAGAGCTCTTAAAGAAGAAAGAACCAAATGGACAGATTTAGCTTTGAAATTTGAAAAAATATATACTTTTGCATGATTTACTTCAGTGTAACTCAGCTTCATCCAAAATTGAGGTAATTTTCAAAATATTTTGGGCTAAAATAAATCTTTAAATGGAAGTATTTCAATATTATCCAAGAAAGCAGTCTAACAAAGTTTATAGCAAATTTAATTATTCCAATGTTTTTTAAAGTGGGAAGCGTATACAAAAATTCTCAATAATATTAATAGATTTCAAGCAAAAGGTATTTTTAAAATTCTGTGTTAAATTAGTTTACCATGAAATCTCAGCTATTTTAATATCCCATATAAGTTGTCAATTTCTGCATTAAATATGCAGAAGTATGTGTTGAAAAAGAGACACAAGACAAGAGGGCACTTCAGGGAGAGAGAAGATAATGATCCAAGATGAGCATGTGGGAAAGCATAAGACATGTTTGAAGAAACTGTAAGGAAATTCTGGATTTGCAGAAGATAAATCTGGAAACGGAGTCAAGAGCCAGATTGTGGATTTGAATAGCATGATAAGCAGTTCAGACCCTTTCCAAAATCAGTCATCAAGCACTAAAGATTTCCTAGGAAAAGAGTGATCATATAAATGGGATAGTTTGAAAAGACTTATCTGGTCATAAGTGGATGGATTGGTGTGGAACAGGAAAAATACTGGAGGTGGGGAGTCCAGTTTGAAGACCTCAGCAATAATTTAGAAGTGAGATTAATTATGATGGTGGAAATGAGAATGCAAAATGAAAAATGAGGACAAGATGCACTGCAAAAAGCAGAGGTAAATAGGATGCAGTTTCAAAGATTTCTAAAGTGATCCCCAAGATAGTGATGATGGCCTTAAGCAGCCATAGTGAATCATTTGCTTCTTCATAGATTACGCTTTTTAACTGCCCCCATGCCTTGATAATAGGTTTTCTACCATATAGGACCTATTATTCTTGAGTACACAGTTAGCTTCTATTCAGTCTTTAAGAAATCCAGCTCATTTATCTTCTCTTCTTTCTGGAATCAGTTTTGTGTGCTCTCTTTTAAGTGTCCTACGTATAAAATTTTTACAACACTTAAATTAATGTATCACAAGATCTACTGATTTGTCTTCTCCTCATTTAGATTACCAGCTCCCTGAAGGTGGAAGCCAAATGTGTCGCTTTTTCACAATGGACACAGTAGCACACAGTAGAAACCGAATCATTGTTTAATGAAGGAGAATACCCAGGAAAGTTAGAATGACAGAAAGTCAATAAACAAATGAAACAAGCAAATAAATGAAAGATGGAAGTGTGCATATAGATAGAATAGAATAGAATAGAATAGAATAGAATAGAATAGAATAGAATAGAATAGAATAGAAATATTGAGGAAGGTTGTTTATCAACATGTTAGATAGCTAATAGAAATAAGATTGAAGAAAATGATAAAAAAACAAATTGATTAGGCAGGATTCCAGAGTACACGGGATGCTGTGGCATGCAGACCTGATATGGAAGATTCACCCCAGGTAGTTCAATACTTCCTACAGTTCTCAAAAGATGCCTCATGCTCTTCGATTTTCTCACCTTAGCTTCTATTCCCACTGACAAGAATGCCATCTCACCTTGATCCTCTATTTTAACATCCATTTATACGTGTGTAAGGCACAAATCAAATTCCACTGTTGCATGAGACCTTTCCTGGTCTTTTATTTCTCCAAATCCCTGAATAAATTTTTCTTAATATTCAGCCTGAAAGCCACCTGCATAAAATCCCACAGGCGGTGGTGCTTATAAGAAGTTTCTCTTTACAGACGTAATCTATCTAATATATGTAGCAGGGGTAAAAGAATTTGAATCATCATTTTATAAATACAAATAAAGATATTTGAGCAAATGATCATTGATGTCTACGAAATCATTAGTGAGAAAAAAGCCAGTGGAAACTTAATGATAAATGGATCAATAATCTGATAGTACCTCAACTCACTCATCAAACTTAAGATTATAAAAAGAGAGACAACCAGACATTATATGCCTCCTTATGGAAGGACACAAAATACCCTCTAATATATTCTTGCCATGAAAAAAATATGTCTGAATTTGGCCAAATCTCTATCCATAAAAACCAGTGAAAAGGAAACCAAGGAAAATGTTGAAAGATAACAGTGAGTAGAATTTTGCATAATCCCAAATGTGAAAAGGAACTGCAAAATGTACAATTTTAAAAGAGATGGAAAAACCTATAGATTAAAATATACCAAAATAAACTTCAAGACATGCCAACCAAAAGTGTGGATATTTAGGGATCCTAATTTCAATGAACTCAAATTTACAAATCATTTATAAGACCACTAAGGTAACAAGAGCACTAACTGGTATTTAAAAATTTACTGTTGATTTTTAGGTTAGATAATAATCAAAGCATCAATTTTAAAGCATGACCATATATCTTGAAATACTTTTAGATAAAATGATATACCATCTGGCACTTGCTTCAAAATAATGTAACAATGGTGGAGGTGTGGTGAGCGATGATGGTATAAATCAAGCAAGATTGATTATCATTGAAGTTGGGTGATAGCCATTAGTTCACATTTATATACGTTTGAAATTTTTCATTTTCAATTCATTTTAAAATATAGATTGCTAGATCCTATCTCAGAATTATTGAACTAGAATATCTGAGGAAGATTCTGTGAATCTGAACAATTAACATATTCTGAGGTCATTGTTATGCACACTAGGATTTGGGAATTACAATCCTAAAACAGTTTATCTCATTATCTTGCCCTTGTCAGAGAAACGAAGCCAACTATATACATATATCTTACGTTTAGGGATAAAAGCTGTGTCTTCGTCAGGCTGGCATTTCCCAAGGATATATATATATACACACATATATATGTGCGTATATATATATGTATATACACACATATATGTGTGCGTATATATATGTATATACACACATATATATGTGCGTATATATATGTATATACACATATATGTGCGTATATATGTATATATGCACATATATGTGCGTATATATATGTATACACACATATATGTGCATATACATATATGCACACATATGTATATACATATATATGCACACATATATGTATATACATATATATGCACACATATATGTATATACATATATATGCACACACATATATACATATATACACACATATACTACATATACACACATATATACATATATATACATATATATTTAGTATACACTCAATATAATGCTAGTGATGTCTGACGAAAGATTTATTTTTGTTTAATCTGAATAAATATTTGAGATAGAGTATACAAGACTTACCCACACATTCCAACATGCCAGGTCCATTTGGTATCAGGAATGTGTACCTTGTTACAGCTGTTAGCAATAATCTTTGGCCACATGAAATTTTTTTTCTCAGTCGGTGGTATTTAACATTCCTAAATTGCCAGTATCGCCATACCTCAATCAGCAAGGATAACATCTAACCAGATGAGAACAATAGCCTCTTCCTTCACATTTGGAGAGTAGGTAATTTAGGCAGCCATATGTAGTATATCCACACTAATAATATAGATGCCCATATGATCTTTCAAGTAAATAAACTGAAATGTTTTCACCTGTGATTACCCCTAGGCTTTTCCCTTTTGGATTTTTTGTTTGCCTGTTTTCAATGTTTCATTTATTAAATAACAACTTTGACTTTCTTAAGAGAGTATGCTTAGGAAAATGTAATCTTTTATTGAGAATTGCTTTCCCAAAGACCTAATATTTCCTATAACTTAGAATCCTTGAAAGATGTAGACTATAATAGATTCTGTAATAGATTCTGTCCTAATACTAGTCCAGGATTCTAAATCTGTCACTAACTAGTTAAGTAACTTTGAATAAGACATTATTTTTCCTGGGTCCTGGTTTCCCTACATACAGTTGACCCTTGAACAAAGATGTAGACTATAATAATAGATTCTGTCCTAGTACTAGTCCAGGATTCTAAATCTGTCACTAACTAGTTAAGTAACTTTGAATAAGACATTATTTTTCCTGGGTCCTGGTTTCCCTACATACAGTTGACCTTTGAACTGAATGGGTCCACTTACATGTGGATTTTCTTTGACCTCTGCCACCCCTGAGACAGCAAGACCAACTCCTCCTCTTTCTCTTCCTCCCCAGCCTACTCATCATGAAGACAATGAAGATGAAGACCTTTATGATGATCCACTTCCACTTAATGAATAGTAACAATATTTTCTATTCCTTATTTTCTTAATAACATTTTCTTTTCTCTGGCTTACTTTATTGTAATAATATAGTATATAATACATGTAACATATATAAAACATGCATTAATGGATTGTTTATGTTACAGTAAACTTCTTCCTGGTCAACAGTAGGCTATTAGTAAATTTCTGAGGGAATTAAAAATCATATGCAGATTTTTAACTGCAAAAGTTATATGTGGATTTTTGACTGACATTCCTAACCACTGTGTTGTTTAAGGGTTAACTGAATATAATTCTAAAATAAATATGTCAGTCTACTCTCAGATTATCTCTAAGTTTACCTCCAGCTTTATAGTAGTTCTAGGAAAAAATGACTTTGGATAACATTTAAACACAAAACACAACCTTTCCAGGGGGGAAAAAAGACATAAAATGTTCTTACCTCACAGTCTTATATGGCAGTAAATAAGGTCAAATTCATACAGTTCTGTTCTGAAGGTATAAATACAGGAATATGAAGGACTTTTCCCACTTTGCCTTACCTGCTTATGAGCATGGTCATAAGAATTAATATGATTGTCAAACTCCTGGTGTTTGTGATACTGCTTGTCACATAATTCACAGTAAAAGTTTGCCTTTACATCTTCCAGGGCCTTTGCTGTGGACTTCTTTTCTGCAAAATCCTTTAAGAAAAAATACATAAATGTTGGTTAGACTTCTCTCTAATAGCATAACCAGATCTCGTATTAATCAAGGTGGTATTTAACTTAAAGAAATATGACGGAGCACATTGTTTTCTGGGAATTCATGACACTGTGAGAATAACTTTTAGTTTTGCATCATCCCTAACTTATCAACTGACATATCATGATTTCTAAAGTAGCCCTGGTCTGGAGCTTGGTTTTTCCTCATCCTTCTTCTTGCCACCCATTTCTAGGTTGTGATTGTGCCTATTACCAAGCACATCACTGGCCATTCTTCTTTATATCCTCCATAGCCCTCTGTTTTTCTGATATTATCCCTTAAATTTTAGTGTCCTATGCAATTCTATCTTCAGCCAAATGATTTATCCATTTCATATGCTCTCCCATGGGTGTCCCCATTCACACTATAGATAGAGCCTGATGTATCCATTATGTTCAACATTGCCAAAGCCTCCTCCACAAGCATCAGTTCCTGCTGCACATTACCAATGGGTTTATGTCCATGTTCTTCAAAATATTCTCCTGAAAATTTGTAGTATGCTCCACTTAAAACAGTTTTGGCTACATAATTCTCCTGCTTAAAATCCTCTTTTGATTATAGAATCTCTTTGATTATAGAATAATAGTGGCAAATGTTTACTGAGTATAAACTATGCACAAGGTGTATGAATTATCTCATCATTCCTCACAACAACCCTATGAGTAAGGTTCTATTTTAGTCTGCATTATAGATGCATCAACCAGTGCTTAGAGAGATTACACACTCATGGGCTCCAAGTTAACAAGCGGAGAAGGAATTTGAATTCAAACAACCTATGCCTGGCTCCTTTGTTAGTAAACAGCTGTGATTTGCTATATTCCTTTAAAGCCAACCTTCTCAATATACCAGAAAAACTTCTTACCTTGCCTGTATCATATTTTATCAAACCCTGCTTCTATATTTTCCTCTTTAATTCTATTACCAGATATGTCACATAGCATTAAATTATCTGTTTTCATGTCTATTTATTCCACCAATTTTTTGAGGGAAGAAGCTATTTTATTCATTTTTGTTACACAATACTAAACAACATGTTGTCTAGCCCAGAATATGTGCTACTTAATATGCACTACGCAAATTAATGGATAATCATGGTTTATATATTTATGCCTCATACCATTCTATAACTTCTGCTCTATTATCCCAATACCAAATAAAAGAGTGACTGGCACTTTGAGAATACCAAGTAAATATGTATAAAGAATGAATGAACAAACTAAAGAATGGATTTTATCTTTGTTTCTCCAAAACGACTACCCTCAATAGAAAGAAATCGGGTCATAAGTGTACATCATAGGCAAATAGCTGACCAGAAAAGAAAGTAAGCAGAAATAATTTACGCATATTTTCAGAATGGGGTGAAGTAATGGGACAATTAATTTAGACGTGTGTAACATAATGATTTAAGCCCAAATATAAGAGGGTAAAACACATGGCAAAAAGAAAGAAGGGAATGATACCATTAACTAACAGCACAACTAGACCAAGTATATGGATTGCCTACCTAAGAGAGTTAAAGTAAGAATTTGGTTACATTCTAGAATAATGGAGGATATAAAAAATTAGTGGACAGGCTGTAGCCAGTAATGAGAATGGAGACTGATTTCAAGGTCAAAACCCAGTTGTTGAAAGAACTAGGAAAATTGCCAGCTGATACAATCACTATTGAGAAGTGAGACGGGAATACAGCATTGAGATGGTGCTAAATCCCTTGATTTAGTAGACTTAGAATCAAGGGAAACCATTATTTCTCCACTCTTTCTCACTAAGTTATTTTTCTTTTTTTGAGATGGAGTTTCACTCTGTCGTGCAGGCTGGAGTGCAATGGCGCGATCTCGGCTCACCGCGACCTCCCCCTCCCGGAGTTCAAGCGATTCTCCCGTCTCAGCCCCTCCAGCAGCTGGGATTATAGGCGCGCGCCACCGCGCCCAGCTACGTTTTTTTGTATTTTTAGTAGAGACGGGGTTTCACCATGTTAGCTAGGCTGGTCTCAAACTCCTCACCTCAGATGATCCACCTGCCGCGGCCTCCCAAAGCACTGGCATTATAGGCGTGAGCCACTACGCCCAGCCGGTATTTATTTATTTATTTTTCATGTCCTTTCTTAGTATAATCACAGGGACTGGATTGAAACTAGGGATTCCTTTGTTTTAATCATAGTTCTTATTTATTTATTTATTTATTTATTTATTTATTTATTTATTTATTTAGAGACGGAGTCTCTCTCTGTTGCCCAGGCTGGAGTGCAGTGGCGTGATCTCGGCTGACTGTAAGCTCCACCTCCCGTTTTCACGCCATTCTCCTGCCTCAGCCTCCCGCAGTAGCTTGCACTACAGGAGCCCGCTGCCACGCCCGGCTAATTTTTTGTATTTTTAGTAGAGGCGGGATTTCACCGTGTTAGCCAGGATGGTCTTGATCTCCGGACCTCGTGATGCGCCCGCCTCGGCTTCCCAAAGTGCTAGGATTACAGGCGCGAGCCACCGCCCCCGGCCTAATCATAGTTCTTCTTTCTTCCTTATGACAGCAGCCTTAGAAAACTGACAATGTTCTTAGACATTGGTCAACACTGCCTTAGTGCTCAAAAATACCTTAGCCTCATGAGCTGGTGTAGGGGAACAACTGAAAATTCAGGATAGATTTGAGGCTAAAAATGTATTTTTATATTCTTTCAGATTATGTAGGTGATTTTATGACAGTAGTTCAATGGTCAAGAGTGAATGTTTACCTTCATCTAAACATTCTATATTTCTAAAACGTTCTTTAAGTATCATATTGATGATTCTTAATTCAAAATTTTACAATTTTAAGACAGCTTCACCAAAATTTAAGTTTAATACCATCTTTTTCTGAACACTTATATTTTACAAGGTCGTTAGACTAAACTACATATCACATTTCTTGCTTCATTATTCTTGCCAGGAAATTATGCAGATATTCTTATCTTTCTTACCTCTAAGGTGCTAATGACAATCTCCAGGGCATATTCTGGCCTCTTTATTAAGAGAGAAAGAGTGAACAGGAGGAGTATAAATTCTACCACAAAACATACAAACATAGACTGAATTATAAGGATAGAAATCTCTATTATTTTTCAAAAGAGGCAACTGATATTTAGTAATTTCATGTTTTGTATAAAATCTAATGGCTAGGTAATGGTAAAGGGGGGCATGCTTTTCACTGTCTCCATGCTACCTCATCCATCCAACGATCTATCCACACATGTAACCATCCATTCATTCAACTGTTTATTAAGTATTCATATATTCAAGAATCTCTTATTTAGCAACTTCTAAATGTCAATTTCTTACTGGGTCTTACACTCATTAGTTTACAGTTTAATGGGAAAGAATTACATGTAAAGAGGTAAAAACTATAAGTTGTGATAGAGTGATAATCACAAATTGCTATTAAGGGTTACCTAGATCAGACTACTTAAGAATAATTAGAAGTTAATGTCTCTCTCACATAGCATTATATACACATTATTAGCACACACTATTTCTTGGCTTTTTGTTGAATGACAGGATACTTTTACTGAAAAAATAGGCCTGAAGGTAAATAAGACGATTTACTCTCTGAAATAATTACACAATCTTTAAATATATTTAGAGATGAAGTGTCATATATGAAAGGAGTAAAAAATGATGACCTATTCTCAGTATCAGTAAAGTTTTAAAATAAAGAAAGAATTATAGATACAAGATTTGATATATAATGAATTCATTCATTTGCCAGTTATTTAAATTTCCCTTCTTACAGTTTGCCTAGAGGAAGAGGTTTTGAAAGCTTATCTGACAGAAAAAAAATGTATGACATAAAAGAAAGCTTCTTGTTAATCACTCTCAATGATTCATTAAAGGTTGAAAATAAATTACAAATTGAATATTGAATATGACAGTTATCTTAACAAGAGTCATTTTTAAAACATTCGGTAATGCCAATGGGCATTTTTTGTTGTCATTCAGTATGAATTCTGTAGTATTTAATTACTTTTTATAATTAATGTTTTGGGTACAAGGAGAGAATATGTACTTTTTCACACCAAAAATTTTACATTAATGCGTAAAACACGTATGTTTTTTAAAGTGGCTAGTGTTGACTAGAGTAATGCACTTAGAAATATGAATGTTTGCTATCAAATTGTTACTATTATTGTAATTATTACACATTAACTCCTCATGAACTACATTGTAAACTAGAAATGTGCCAAGCACTTCACACTTGTTCACCCACTTAATCTTCACAATAACCCTATGAAGTATGTTCTATTATTATCTCATTTAAAGATATGGAAAATAAGGCACAAACATGTTTAGAAATTCATTCACTGGATTAAAGCTCAGATCTGCCTGACTTCAGAGGCGTGATTCACCATACTCAAGGCTGTTCCAATTGCTAAGCATTTATCCAGATGCCATATAACTCCAGGCTGTCTCCGCTAACTCATTTGTGGGTTTGGGATGATATGGAGCAGTTAACTCCCAGGAAGAGTGAGAGAACTAATTATAATTTTAAAAATGCATAATGCTCTTGAAGCTGAGAGATGGGTACTAGGAAAATGCAAGGTAGTAGTCTTGTTGCATTGGTTGTGAATATGTGCTCTGATTATGGAAAAGAAAGGGAAGAAATCAATTGCTGTTCTTCATAGCTCCTTATGGGTAATACCAGCACAGAGCTGTGAGAATTGAATTCATATTCTTTGCATGAAAGCCCACATTTGACCCTTCACTGTTATGTGTAAGAGATTGCTTTAAGAATTCTAATATTCTCTAACTCGTTCTATTATATTAGCCCCAAATGAAATCCTACTTCAAAGAGAGTGAATTTTCCCCTCTTCCAATCAAGTGGCTGCTGCTGAGTCAGAACACTCTTTTGGCATCCATCATCTTTCTGCATCTCTGTAACAGCTTGGATAACAGAAAACTTGCTTTGGAGGTTTCATTTACTTATTTATTCTGTTTTTATAATAGGAAAAAAAAATCTTTGTCTTTGAGACCTGACTAGCTTGAATGTCAGCCTCTGTCTTACAGAAGTTCAAACTCTACAGGTTTCAGTTATCTCAGAATAGATTAAGGGGGATAATAATAAGTAGCTTACAAGATTGTTGTGAAGAAAAAATTGGATAATTTTTAGGGAAGTACTAAGTATACCACATGGCAAATATAGGTGATGGGGCTCAGAATATGCCACCCCAAAATATGACTGTAGGAAACCTAACTATGCCACTCCAGTATGCCTCCTTAGCATAAGGATAATTGTGAACTAGTTATTTTAAGAAATTATAGACACAGGAGAAGGTTTGAAAAGTTACCTACCCTTTTCTAGATAAATTTACACCTATAAAGGAAATCTTTACTTGTAAAGGTGTCTCCTAAGACACCTAAGACAACCTAAGAGAGGGCTAGCTCTAAATTACTAGAGACTCTTAATCAATGGAAAAGGCATAGATTTAAATCTGCATAACAAACACTTTCCTGTTTTGTAGTAGCACTTTTCATGGGTCTTAACCTGACCTTTCACTGCGTACTTACCTTACCTTTCACTGCGTACTTCTTTGTTTTGGAGAATGATGATATTTAAGCCTGAAGTCTAAGACAATTGTTTGAAATTTAGTCTATAAGTTTATTTATTTCTCCAGGTTATCTCCCATGTGCACAAGAGGTATACATGTTATCAAACTTCTGTTTCTTATCTTGTTAATTTGTCTTTTGTTACAGGAAGTCACAGCAGAACGCTTGAGAAGAAGAAAATTATTTTTCTTCCCCTATATAGGTACTCAATGTTTGGATGTTCTGCAGTCTGTTTGTGTGTGTGTGTGTGTGTGTGTGTGTGTGTGTGTGTATCACTGAATGCATGTGACACTATAAAATTATTTTTCACAAAATACTATTTTCCCCTGAGTCTACAAAGCAAATTCCTGATGGAAATTTGGGCAGGTGAGAGGAATTTTTATCACCTTTAGTCCACTATCTCATACAAAGCTAGCAAATTTACAAAGAGAATAAAATACCTAGGAATACAGCTAACAAGGGAAGTGAGGGACCTCTTCAAGGAGGACTACAAACCACTGGTCAAGTAACTCAGAGAGGACACAAACAAATGGAAAAACATTCCATGCTCATGGATAGGAAAAATCAATGTCATGAAAATGGCCATACTGCTCAAAGTAATTTACAAATTCAGTGCTGTTCCCATTAAACTACCATGGACATTCTTCACAGAATTAGAAGAAACTATTGTAAAATTCATATAGATTCAAAAAAGAGCTTGTGTAGCAATGACAATCCTAAGCTAAAAGAACAAAGCTGGAGTCATCATGCTACTGGACTTCAAAGTATACTACAAGGCTACAGTAACCAAAACAGTATGGTACTGGTATAAAAACAGGCACATAGACCCATGGAACAGAATAGAGAACTCAGAAATAAGACCACAAATCTACAACCATCTGATCTTCAATGAACCTGACAAAAACAAGTAATTGGGAAAGGACTGGGAGAACTGGCCAGCCATATGCAGAAAATTGAAACTGGACCCCTTCCTTTCACCTTATACAAAAATTAACTCAATATGGATTAAGGACTTATATATAAAACCCAAAACAACAAAAATCCTAGAAGAAAATCTAGGCAATAGCATTCAAGACACAGGCACAGGCAAAGATTTCATGATGAAATTGCCAAAAACAATTGCAACAAAAGCAAAAATTGACAAATGGGATCTAATCAGAGAGCTTCTGCACAGCAAACAAACAAACAACAACAACAACAAAAAACCCACTATCATCAGAGAAAACAGGCAGCCTAAAGAGTGGGAGAAAATTTTTGCAATCTATCCATCTGACAAAAGTCTAATATCCAGAATCTACAAATAACTTAAACGAATTAACAAGAAAAAAACAAACAACCCTATTAAAAAGTGGGCAAAGGGCATGAACAGACACTCCTCAAAAGAAGACATTCATGTGGCCAATAAACATATGAATGAAAGCTCAACATCACTGATCATTAGAGAAATGCAAGTCAAAACCACAATGAAATACCATCTCTCACCAGTCAGAATGGAGATGCTTAAAAAGTCAAGAAACAACAGTTGCTGTCAAGGTTGCAGAGAAATAGGAATACTTTTACACTGTTGGTGGGAATGTAAATTAGCAACCATTGTGGAAAACAGTGTAGTAATTCATCAAAGATCTAGAACTAGAAATACCATTTGATCCAGCAATCCCATTACTGGGTATATACCCAAAGGAATATAAGTCATTCTATTACAGAAATACACGCATACCATGTTCATTGCAGCACTATTCACAATCGCAAAGACATGGAATCAACTCAAATGCCCATCAGTGATAGACTGGATAAAGAAAATGTGGTACATAGACACCATGGAATACTATGCAGCCATGAAAATGAATGAGATCATGTCCTTTGCAGGGACATGGATGGAGTGGAAGCCATTATCCTCAGCAAACTAATGCAGGAACAGAAAACCAAATGTCACATGTTCTTACTTATAAGTGGGAGCTGAATGATGAGAACACATGGACACAGGGAGGAGAGCAACACATACTGGGGCTTCTCCAGGGGTTGGGTGGGGGATGGGAGTGCATTAGGATAAACAGCTGATGTATGCTGGGCTTAATACCTAGGTGATGGGTTAATAGGTGCAGCAAACCACCATGGCACACGTTTACCTATGTAACAAACCTGCACATCCTGCGCATGTACCCAGGAACGTAAAATAAAAATAAAAATAAAGCTAGCAAATTTAATTTTCTTTGCATAATTAGGGTTTTCAGGAGTTTTTAATCTCTGTTTTTTTTACTTTTACCTATTTAAGAATTCCAAACATAGTCAAGAGAGCATAATATGTACTTAATTAACATTAATATTACTAATGTTGATTTCTCCAAAGTTATGATTGATTTCTTTCTTTTTTTTTTTTTGATATGAAGTCTCACTCTCACCCAGGCTGGGGTACAGTGGCATGATCTCAGCTCACTAAAACCTCTGCTTCCCGGTTCAAGCGATTCTCCTGCCTCAGCCTCCTGAGTAGCTGGGACTACAGGTGCATGCCACCACGCTCAGCTAATTTTTGTATTTTTAGTAGAGATGGGGTTTCACCATGTTGACCAGGCTGTTCTAGAACTCCTGACCTCAGGTGATCCACCTGCCTCAGCCTCCCAAAGTGTTGAGATTACAGGTGTGAGCCACCGTGCTGGGCTGATTGACTTCTTTTGTAAAAAGGATAGTCTTTGCATTCCACAACATCTAACATGGTACTTATTACTTAGAAAAACTCAGTAACTATTTATTGAAAAGTGAAATTAATAATAATAATAAAAAGGCAGAGAATGCTTTTCTCTTACACACATAGACAGTATGGCCTACCCTGGCAACACAATTCATATCACGGAGAATTAGACTGTTGGAATAATGTTAGAGTAGGTAGGTAAGTATAATTCCAAACACATGGTAGTTTTAGACTTTTAGAACAATCTTTTTTATGTAGATTCTGAGATCTATGTTGCATATTGAAGAGTTTTCCTAAAGTAATGGAGAGTGGCAATTGCACACAAATCCATAATCAGAACTGCAGATTCTTGTTTTCCAATGCTGTTCCCATTTTACCATAATCAATTGTTTTTCTTATAGTTCAGTGTGAACCAACTATCCATTAGCCAGACTTGGAATGAGACATAAACAAAATTTGACTTTTCCATCAATGCCCAGGTAAGGTGTGATGTCAGCCACTAACTAGTTTTGAAAGGGATTTTTTTCTCCTCCTATTAATGATTCATCAAAGATGCCCACATTAAAAGATAAATAAAAGCACATTAAACATGTGAAATTGTCTCTCGGTGGCGTTCCCTAGGGACAACTCAGCATTGTTTCTAATTTGGAAAGAATGACAAATTTCTGACTTACAGGCAGGATGCCAGACTGTTGACTACATTTCTGTACATGAAGAAACAATTAAATATTTAAAGTTTGCTTAAATAATTGCCTATTTTGGAGATGTTTCTTAACTGACTGCAATTGAACAGGGATTATTATTATTATTATTATTTTATTTTTTTGAGAAAGAGTCTCACTCTGTCGCCCAGGCTGGAGTGCAGTGGCGCGATCTCAGCTCACTGCAAGCTCCGCCTCCCAGGTTCAAGTGATTCTCCTGCCTCAGCCTCCCGAATAGCTGGTACTACACGGGCCTGCCAGCTCGCCCGGCTAATTTTTTGTATTTTCAGTACAGACGGGGTTTCACCGTGTTAGCCAGGATGGTCTCGATCTCCTGACCTTGTGATCCACCCACCTCGGCCTCTCAAAGTGCTGGGATTACAGGCGTGAGCCACCGTGCCCAGTCTAAACAGGGATTATTTTTTAGGAACACATGCATTTCTGTTAGGACCACAGTTATCAACGTTGGCCACCACCAATTTCATCTTCCTCAGCATGAATTAATATACAGTTCCTCCACCAGAAAAACAAGTTAGAAAGGAAATAAGGAAGTGCAGGTGAATCCAAAGATAATCATAACAGCAGCTACTGCTTTATTGCTTAATCGCTTAATCATGCTTATCTGTCTAATGGAAGGAAAAAGAGGGAAGATATAATTTCCAGATTTCTTAATGATCAGATACAGATGCTACATTGCACAAGTTTATAAAGGCTGTAGATTGTTTTGCAGAGTTGCTTAACAACCAATAAAACAGGGCTAGGCGCGGTGGCTCATGCCTGTAATCCCAGCACTCTGGGAGGCCAAGGCGGGTGGATCACGAGGTCAGGAGATTGAGACCATCCTGGCTAACATGGTGAAACACCGTCTCTATTAAAAATACAAAAAAATTAGCCAGGCGTGGTGGCTGGCACCTGTAGTCCCAGCTACTCGGGAGGCTGAGGCAGGAGAACGGCATGAACCTGGGAGGCAGAGCTTGCAGTGAGCCGAGATTGTGCCACTGCACTCCAGCCTGGACGACAGAGAGAGACTCTGTCTCAAAAAAAAAAAAAAAAACCCAATAAAATAGTAAATATAACACACATAAACCAATGAACTTTTGCTGACACAACGCAGTATTAGCCCACCAAAATGGAAAGACTATCAGTTTCTCTAATACAGAACATATCAGCGCTCACCAGTAAAATCAGACAATATCCTTGAGTGAGGAAGGAAAAAGAGTGACTAAAAAATATGCATATTAAGCCTGAGTCGGGAAAACGCTTGAAGCAATTAAATTACAGTGAATTCTTGACCTAGAGTTTATGTTTACCAAATGTCTATTAAAGAATACATGAATTAATAAATGTAGTGACTGAAAGAACGAATACATTTGACTGATTGATTGATTTATTTTTATCCAGTTATTTAATATGCTAAAGGGGAGAGAACTGGAATTCCTGAAATATATATGGTGGTATAAAAACTCATATAACTGTAAAACACAAAGACTGAGTCTTAATGTAAACTGTAGATTTTGCTAATAATAATGTATAAATACGGGTTCATCAACTACAATATACTAACTGATATTGTTTGGCTCTATGTCCCCACCCAAATCTCACCTTGAATTGTAATAATCCCCATGTATCATGGGAGGGACTCAGTGGGAAGTAATCAAGTCACTGGGGGTGGGTTTTTTCCTGTGCTGTTCTCATGATAGTGAATAAGTCTCATGAGATCTGATGGTTTTATAAAAGGGAGTTCCCCTGAACATGCCCTCTTGCCTGCAGGCATGTGAGATGTGACCTTGCTCCTCATTAACCTCCTGTCATGATTGTGAGGCCTCCCCAGCCATGTGGAACTGTGAGTCAATTAAACTGCTTTCCTCTGTAAATTACCCAGTCTTAGGTATGTCTTTATTAGCAGCATGATAGCAGACTAATACAGTAAACTGGTACTAGTAGAGTGGGGTGCTGCTGTAAAGATACCCAAAAATGTGGAGGCCACTTTGGAACTGGGTAACAGGCAGAAGTTCAAATAATTTGGAGGGCTCAGAAGAAAACAGGAAAATATGGGAAAGTATGGAACTTTCTAGAGACTTGTTGAATGGCTTTGACCAAAATGCTGACAGCAACATGGACAATAAAGCCCAGGCTGAGGGTCTCAGATGGAGATGAGGAACTCATTGGGAACTGGAGCAATGGTGACTCTTGTTATGTTTTAGCAAAGAGACTGGCAGCACTTTGCTCCTGCCATAGGGATTTGTGAAACTTTGAACTTGAGAGAGATGATTTAGGGCATCTGGCAGAAGAAATTTCTAAGCAGCAACCCATTCAAAAGCTGACTTGGGTGCTGTTAAAAGTATTCATTTTTGTGGGTTTGTTTGTTTTTTGTTTTGTTTTTTGAGATGGAGTTTTGTTCTTGTGACCCAGGCTGGAGTGCAATGGCGTGATCTCAGCTCACTGCAACTTCCACCTCCTGGGTTCAAGCAATTCTCCTGCCTCAGCCTCCTGAGTAGCTAGGATCACAGGCACCAGCCACCATGCCTGACTAATTTTTGTATTTTTAGTAGAGACAGGGTTTCACCACATTGGCCAGGCTGGTCTCGAACTCCTGACCTCAGGTGATCCACTCTCCTCGGCCTCCCAAAGCGTTGGGATTACAGGCATGAGCCACCGTGCCTGGCCAGCATTCAGTTTTATGTATTCACAAATACATAGTTTGGAAATGGAGCTTATGTTTACAAGGGAAGCAAAGCATAAAAGTTCAGAAAATTTGCAGCCTGATAATTCAATAGAAAATAAAACCCCATTTTCTGGGAAGAAATTCAAGCTGGCTGCAGAAATTTGCATAAGTAATGAGATGCAAAATGTTAATCGCCAAGCCATGGGAAAAACCTCTCCAGGGCATGTCAGATACCTTCATGGCAGCCCCTCTCATCACAGGCCCAAAGACCTAGGAGGGAAAAATGGTTTTATGGGCCGGGCCCAAGCCCCTCTTCCAGTGTGCAGTCTTGGGACTTGGTGTCTTGTGTCCCAGCTGCTCCAGCCATGGCTAAAAGTGGACAAAGTACAGCTCAGGTCATGGCTTTAGAGGGTGTAAGCCCCAAGCCTTGGCAGCTTCCACGTGGTATTAAGCCTGCAGATGCACAGAAGTCAAGAATTGAGATTTGGGAACCTCCGCCTAGATTTCAGAGGATGTATGGAAATGCCTGTATGTCCAGGTAGAAGTTTGCTGCAGGGGTGGGGCCTTGTGGAGAACCTCTGCTAGGGCAATGAAGAAGGGAAATGTGGGATTTGAGCCCCCCACATAGAATCCCCACTGGGAAACTGCCTAGTGGAGCTGTGAGAAGAGGGCCACCATCCTCCAGACCCCAGAATAGTAGATCCACCAACAGCTTGCACTGTGTGCCTGGAAAAGCTGCAGACACTCAATGTCTGCCCATGAAAACAGCCAGGAGGGGGAATGTACCCTGCAAAGTCACAGGGAAGGAGCTGCCCAAGATCATGGGAACCCACCTTTGGCATCACTGTGACCTGGATGTGAGACATGAGGTCAAAGGAGATCATTTTGGAGCTTTAAGATTTGACAGCCCCACTGGATTTTGGACTTGCATGGGGCCTAAACCCCCTTTGTTTTCTCCAATTTCTCCCATTTGGAATGAATGTATTTAACCATTGCCTGTACCCACTTTGTATCTAGGAAGTAACTAAGTTGCTTTTGATTTTACAGGATCATAGGTGAAAGGGACTTGCCTTTTCTCAGATGAGACTTTGGATTTGAACTTTTGGGTTAATGCTGGAATGAGTTAAGACTTTGAGGGGCAGTGGAAGGCATAATTGGTTTTGAAATGTGAGGACATGAGATTTGGGAGGAACCAGGGGCAGAATGATATAGTTTGGCTCTGTGTCCCCACCCAAATCTCACCTTGAATTATAATAATCCCCATGTGTCATTGGAGGGACCTGGTGGGAGGTGATTGAATCATGGAGGGTAGGTTTTTCCTGTGCTGTTCTCGTGATAGTGAATATAAATTATGAGATCAGATGGTTTTATAAATGGGAGTTCTCCTGCACATGCGCTCTTGCCTGCTGCCATGTAAGACATGACCTTGCTCCTCATTCGCCTTTCGTCATGATTGTGAGGTCTCCCCAGCCATGTGGACCTGTGAGTCAATTAAGCCTCTTTCCTTTATAAATCATCCAGTCTTGGGTATGTCTTTGTTAGCAGCATAAGAACAGTCTAATACACTAACTCACCACACAATGCCAAATAATAATAAGAGAAACTATTTAGGGTTGGGCAGAGTGTATAGGAACTATGTGTACTTGCTTTTTCTAATTAGCAGACTATATTTTTAGAACAGTGTTCTAAAAATAAAAGTATTCAACAAAGTCACATTTTAATAGTCCTACCTTCATTGAACTCAGAAAACAATGTATGGTATAAGAATAATCAAATCCATGCCACATGATGACTACAGCTGCACTGCAGGCATGCAGAATAACAAACATGAGACTTACTTTGCATGAAGAGATTTTGAGACTCTCAGTTCCCCTCCATCATATCCCATGAGACCAACCCTTTGCAACCCTCCGGAAAAGCAGGACCTACTGAGTGATCATGTTTACAATCATTAGGTCCACTGGAAATTCAAGGGTAAAATCTTTATGATTGGAAGAAAGATTTTGGAATGTGTCTACTGTGTGGGTGTGTGAAACATGATAAGAAAATGAGTTTTCTTCCTCCAGACTCACAATGCTGTTCCATTTATAAAGGTAGTAATTACCACCTCATCAATTCAGCCCACAGGTAGGTATAACTGTAATGAATATAGACATATTGCATTCATCTAAATTGAATACATTTAAATGAATATATCTATTGTGCATTAGACAGGAAGTACTTTCGTTTAGCCATTACTCCTGATGTAGCTACTTATTGTAAAAATGCAATTAATAGCATCTGACATTTCATTTTCTAATATAAGAAAAGTCAATGAAAAACGTTGGACAACTAAGTTTTCTGGAAAGTTGCTAGTGATACCTGCTCAGTTACAAACCATTTTTCTTTTAATTTAAAATTTGTGAGAGTCATCTATGAGAGAAATGACCATTAAACAATGCTGATCTAGCCACTGCTTCACCTTTCCTTGGGAATTGATTGCAAATATGTTCCCTTCAAATAGATTCAGTGAATTTCAAGTAAGATTTCCTCCTCTGAACTTCTTAAATTGTTCTGGTATTAATCTCTGCTGTGTTTATGTTCTACATGTGCTAAACACAGGCCTGCAAACTCCTAAGATGACATATTAAAATAGTATAAAGCCAATGGCTTTGCTTTTAAGAAAAAGCAAGTCAGATGAATTACAAAACACCAAGGACATCTCTCTATTCTCCTGAACGTCTGCTATTATGTCTAATAATAAGTCTGCTGCTTGGTTTACTTGTTCTGTACCAGAGATGTTTAAAAAGTGATTGTGTTCACAAAGGCACACCATTATTTCAAACTGGCGGCTCCAGGCTTCTATCTGTTGAAATTCTAGTGGGTAATTTAATTTCAAACTTAGAGAATACTAGAAATTGTGAAAAAAATTATGCTTTACAGAAGCTCTATGTCTTAAATCTAAAATACTAACTTTAAGCTGAGAAAATGTGCCAAAGTGAGAAAAAAATTTAAAAAATGCTAGTTTACTTTGAGAGAAAGATATTTACAAGGGCCAAAAGAGCCGCTATAAACTACTTATGCTTGTCTATTAAATAGTCTTCGCATACAACTGCAAAACTTGGATAAGTGACGTCAGAAAACCTCAAAAAGAAGTTCTGTACATCAGTTTATGCACATATACCTGCATTTATGAGAACTAACTAAAAATGCTTGTGAGCTGGAGTCAGAAAGCCTAATTATCTGGAAACTGGGGCCAATGTTTATCTGTATTCTAATGGCAGCGCTGATGGTGTAGCCCACCCATACTGTGGCAAACAGCCTACATTTGTCCAAGATTGTCACAGCTGCTTCAGCTCTTGGAGAATCCATACTTACTGTTACCACTGGTGTCAACTCAACAAGCCATACTGAGTTGGGCTCCAATCTATTCTGTATGTGCATTTGTGTGAGTATGTACATGTGTGTGTATGTGTGTGTGTGTGCTGTGTAGAGAACTAGTCTAAAAAGAGACGTATTGTAGCTACAATACGTCTAGAATACGTCTAGCTACAATACGTCTATTGTAGCTACAATACGAATAGAAGTTGTGGGCCCATTGTAAAAAAGTAAAATAGAAAGTTAGAATAATCACACAGGTAGGTAATTGGAAGCAATCTCCACAATCTTTTAAGAAAATTAATCCAGGAAAAGTTCTTTGGCTTGTCAAACGTTTATGCAAGATGATAAATAGCAGATCTGGAATGAGAATTCAAGTCCTGACTCCTGTCTTTGAGACCAATGGCAGAGCAATTAATTCAGGAGGGTCTATTTCCTCATCTGGAAAATGAGGTTGGTCTAAGGAATAGAATTTTTGTGTCTCTAAAACTCAAGACATATACATGGATCTCTGGAATCTTTAAAATGTAGATGTAGAATTTTTTTCTTTCTTCAAACCATGTAATCAAAATCAAAGTCTATTTAACAACATATTTAGAAATAACATTCATATTCTTGGGATGCCATAGATAAAAGTTTTCTGTTTCAAGCCATCTCCTAGAGAAGACAGAATCATCCCCAATAGAGACCTCCTCTTTCCTTTATCCCCCTAAGCTTTAAAAAATGCATTTAGAGTTTTGCTAGTCCATAGATCACTAGTTGTAGCTATAATAAATTCAGCACTGAACTTAGCCAGTTCTAAAAACTGGTTTTAGAAAGGAGGAAGCTACACCTTTCTCTGATATAGGAGGGATGTCTAACATGAAAGGAAAACATCAAATCAAAAGATAAAAGAATTCACACCTAAAATTATTTTTAAAATTGTCTTCACATTTCTATGGTGCTCTTGAAAGAGCCTGGTTTAGGGTAGGGATTTAGTTATGATATGAATGCTTGGATGAGTTACTGTGCCATTTTACTGTGCATGATAATAATACACAATCCCTATTTTCAAGAAACTCACAGACCACCTGCAAGGATAGGATTAATTCATAAGATACAAAGGACAACATAAAGGGTACAAAATCGTATGTTAGGCATTTAAAGTACTGTGTGTATTTAGAGAAAGGAAATAGTCATGCTGCTCTGGAACACAGGTACATACCTAAGCAGAATAAGCCTCATTAAGTTACAATTTTATAATGGGTCTAAATTAATAGGCTTGAATTTGACTCTTAGATATATAAGAAATGAATGACACTTGATGAGATTTTTAATTCTGGGGCTTAAGAAGGTGACCAAAGTATTCCTGAGAAATAATAAACCTACATTTGGTAATGAGAATGATACAGATTTTACTCCATGTATTAATAAAGAGGAAGTCATACAAACTTTAGAGAGTATATTATTACTATCTCCCATTTTCTCTTTTATTACAGCTGGTCACTATTTCTGACCAGTAGCTTAGGTAGTAGTTATGATCCTTTTCATATTATTCCACTACATGCTCCTTTTGATTATTTTCCCAGCACTTCTTTCTTGGACTTTCTGCTTCTTGGAAGTCTCGGCTTTTGGTGGACCAATCAACCAAGTAGTGTACAATATATCTAATAGGTAATATTTCATCCCTCACTCTCCTTCCAATGCTGACACTTTTGGAGTCTCCAGTGTCTGTTATTCCATTTTGTATGTCCTGAGTTCACTTCGAATTGGTCAAAGCACAAGTAAGTGATTTTAAAAATTGATTTCTATAGAATCTTTTGCTTCTGTCCATTATGCTATAAAAAATCCTAATTCTGGAATTTGTCAGCTTACATGCTCTGTTACTACTCTGGGTTGGAATCTGTGTCCTCATTAGTGGTTATATTTATCAGCAAATCTCTATTCTGTGAAACTGCAGTGATGGCAGGGAACATTTACACTCTTTTTAGTAGAAAATGTCTCTTCTGTAATATAAAATGAAAAAAATAACTTTCATTGATAAGAAACAACTATATCTTAAAAAATCTAAATAAATACGATGAAGCTTTCCCTAAGAGTGTCAGCAAAAGCTCAGATAAGAATCTGCCTCTTCATTAGTTGCATGCCTGAATATCACTATGGTTTCACACTGGAATGCCCATGTAGGGAGGAATGCCAAGTGAAAGAAAAAAGGGGAAGTAAAACATACATGAGAAGTATGATGAAAACATGGAGATAGAAAGAGAAAACAGATGCCTCAGGTGGGCAAAAGAATCCAGATTTCCCTTGTGACCAAAGGGTAAAAAAGAAAATGAATGGAGGAAAGAATCAGGGTTGCGGTGCTGTAAAGTACAATTTAAAAATCATATGTTGGCGGTGGACAGAAGAAAGAAACCATAAATGATTTCCTCAGTCCTAGATAATTTTTTAGCCAAAGGCTATTTGTGTGGGAGTGGGGGACATATTTCTTCTAAGATTGTTCATGATTTGAAATTTATTGGTAGAAACTTGAAAGTATAGGAAGGTCAACAATATTTACATCTATGGGCATCAATATTTTGTTGTATCAATCTTCACCTTGACATTCTCTGGGTCTGATCAAAATCATCAGTGCTCCTTGGTAAGAAGTTTGTCGTCATGAGACATTTTTCAGGAGTCTAAGTATTTGTAGTAAATTTAAGAGGAGATTTATGATCTCAGCTGGAGATTCTACAAACCAGGACAGGAATCCTAAGGGTGGAAATAAATTCACCAACTATGTATTAAACTCTTACTGTGTTAGGGGCTATAGGAATTGTATATGACTTGGAAGGTATTGTCCCTATATTAAATAATGTATAGTTAACTAATAGAGATAAAACTTGAGAAACGAAGGAAGCATGTTACATCTAATTAAGAGTAAAGAGCATTTGGGTTGTACAGAGATTGGGACAAAAGTCTTTTAATCCAAGCTCAACCATATGCAAACTCAATGATCTTCAGTGCATCACTTAACCTCTATAAAATGAGGATAACAATATCACTCTCACAGAATGGTTCTAATGATTAAATAAGTTCAAACATGAAAAGCACAAGGCACAGTTCTGAGCACCACACAAAGGTGAACAAATACATTTTTAAATATATATATGTATATTATAGATGTATTTATATCTATATATGTGTATATATAACATATACACACATATTGTATAATATACACATATACCTATATATTATACATATATTATATAATATACTACATATATAATGTATACATATATTATATATACACACACACATATATGGATGTTTATATGTATATGTATGTGTGTATATGTATATAAAATGTCATAAATTCTGAGGAAGTGACAAAAATAGAAAGATGCCAGTAGGAATAATATCTAGGAACATCTGAGTTTTGAAACTAGTTATTAAAAATGAAAAGGCAGTACATCCTTGTGGTTAGGAGTATCGTTCTGGAGTCAGCCTGAGTTTAAATCAGAGCTTCGGTTTCTCATGGGTGTGGGGCACTCAGCAATTTGATCTGTTTTGTCATCTGTTAAATGAATGTGTAAGTGTAACTAACACATCAGGCCAATATATTGATTATAGAAACAATTCAAGTAAATACTTAGTATAGTAAAAGCCTTATATTTCTATTATGCTGTTAATTTGTTCATATTTCCTAAGTTTTGTTTTGGGTTATTTTGTCTTTTTCAGATTTTAACAGCAATATAAAAACATGACATTAGATTTGAATGTGCTGTACTGTAATAATTTTTTAAAAATTGGCAGGTTAGAGTAGAAGAGTCTGGTTTGGGAATGGAGTCTTGCAGGAGTTTTGAGGATTGCCCTGAAGAATGCTGACTCCAGTGGGAAAGGGAAAGCCTGGCCTCCCATAACTGGCACCCAAACAATGTAAGTAAAGAATGGGCCCACAAAGCCTAATAAAAAGGATTTCTTCCCACAAGGAAGAGATGTAGTTATCTGTACCCAACTGAGTGATACACTATATGGATAACAAGTTTTTCTTCCAGTGGGGCCAGTCTTTGTGCTGCAAACTAAGAGAGGGAAGAAAAAATCCTGTGCAAGCAGAAGCCTCAGCCAGACACTTAATCATGGCCTTTTAGGGACACCAGTGCCCTTTATTGCTGACTTTTTTACTTCTAAACTCCTTATGGCTCCATATTCCCGATAAGTTACTTGTTAGAAATAATGTTCTTTGCATTAAACATACATTTTCCTTACTGAAAACAGGCTCTGCTTTCTGCTACAGATGGTGAGCTAGCATCCTGACATGACCTTTTGCTACTGTGTCTTTTGGATTTCTGCCTTTGGCTGGAGTACACATGGACTAGGTTTTTTGTTTTTCTGTACTTGTTTTTGTTATTGATAGAAAGCTTTATATATTTTCTATTGTATTCTTACTACTTTATAAAAAAGCAGTTATTTAAAATTTTATCAATTTATAACAGATAAATCTACTCAAAGATGAACAATAAATAATGTTTAATCACTCTGTAATTACATGTATTAACTTTTATTGCATTTACAGTGAAAATATTCCTTGAGTAGTGACAGGTAACCTCAAGGTCACATTATTTTTTATTTAGTATAAAACACACTAGCTTATAGTGTTTTTCACTAATTGCAATGTGATCTAATTGATTCTATAATGCTTTCATTAGAAGAAAATATGTAGTCTTACAAACGCTATTAATATTATTGTAAACATAAATAGTGAGCATGAACATGCAAGGTGATTAGAAATTACTTTGGGCTTTATGCATTTACTATAAATAGTAAAATGAAAGGTATCAATTTATAACATTTCTAACTAAAAGAATGTCTAGATTCACACCAATTATTTTGCCTGTTTAATAGTTAAAAGCTTTAAAAATTACATATGACTCCATATGTGTGAGTAGCATTTCCATAAACTATCCCCATTTTAACCTATATGCCTTAAATCATATCATTAGTTGATCAAGCTAGTATTGCAATAAAAATATGTATTTGCAAAGATTTAATAATCTATTTGCAAAGGTTTAATAATCCGTTTGTTTGCTAATCCTATTGTTCATTTAGTGAATATTTTCATGAAAACTTGGACATTCTAAGGTCAGTGTTCTACTCATCAATATTTAATGGCCAGATCTGTATGTGGAAACATACTAATAAGGTGTCATTATTTAAATAACTTTTAGTAATGTCTAAGCATCCAATTTGCTACTCAATTGAAGAATAATTTATTCACATAGAAATGAGGTATTTCTTCAGTATTCAAAACTAAAGTGTACAAAAATGTCAACTATCTTTAACTAAAGATATCTTTAACTCTATATAACGAAACTAAATCTAAATCCACTAACCTGTGCATATACTATTATAACAAGAAAAGGAAAAATCAAGAATCTAAGCGTGCTGTTAAGAGAAAAATATAAATTCTAATGAGTAACCGAGTGACATAGATTGAATCAAGATCTAAGATTCCTGGTTTTCTCATAATTAAAATTTCAAAAGTGCTTCTCTTTTTATTTTCATGTAGCAGTTACAAAAAAGTAGATAATATGAAAACTCTTATAGTATATACAAAATATTATAATCAAACAGCCAATGGAAGAAAAGAGGAAGAAAAATGAAAGGATTTTTATGCAGACTACATTACTTAGTGGAAGACAATTTGCAAAAGGAAGCCATCAACAAAGGCAGAGCTGGTAGTGTCACTTTTATTTTCACATATTTTGCATCTGCTTTTTATTTTCTTCCTGTCAGATTTTTGTGGCAACGCATATTGTCCCTGGAAAAACTTTTAAAACTGCTGCAGTCAGGCACTGAGGCCTTTTTGTTCTGTTCCGTTTTGTTTTGTTTTAGGTGTTAGTAGTTGAAAGATATAAAGATAATTTTTTTTCTTCAGCTTTTATTTTAAGTTCAGGGCTATCTCTGCAGGATGTGCAGGATTGTTACATAGGTAAATGTGTGACACAGTGGTTTGCTGCACAAATCATCCCATCACCTAGGTATTAAGATTGCTGGGTCAAATAGTATTTCTGCCACTAGCTCTTTGAGGAATCACCACAGTCTCCCATAATGGTTGAACTAATTTACACTCCCACCAACAGTGTAAAAGCATTCCTATTTCTCTGCAAACTTGCCAGCATCTGTTGTTTTTTGACTTTTTACTAATAGCCATTCTGATTGGCGTGAGATGCTCTCTCATTGTAGATTTGATCTGCATTTTTATAATGATCAGTGATGTTGAGCTTTTTTTCATATGTTTGTTGATCGTACATATGTCTTATTTTGAGAAGTGTCTATTCATGTCCTTTGCCCATTTTTTAATAGGGTTTTTTTCCTGTTATTTTGTTTAAGTTCCTTGTAGATGCTGGATATTACCCTTTTTTGGATGGATAGATTGCAAAAATGTTCTCCCATTTTGTAGGTTGTCTGTTCACTCTGATGATAGTTTCTTTTGCTATACAGAAGCTCTTTAGTTTAATTAGATCCCATTTGTCAATTTTTGCTTTTGTTGCAATTGCTTTTGGCATCTCTCTCATGAAATCTTTGCCTCTGCCTATGTCAGATGTTATTGCCTAGATTTTCTCCTGGGTTTTTATGGTTTTGGGTTTTACATTTAAGTCTTTAATCCATCTCGAGTTAATTTTTGTATAAGGTGTAAGGAGGGGGTCCAGATACAATTTTCTGCATATGGCTAGCCAGCTTTCCCAGCACCATTTATTAAATAGGAGTCCTTTCCCTATTGCTTATCACTGTCAGGTTTGTCAAAGATCTCATGGTTGTAGGTGTGTGGTCTTATTTCCGAATTCTCTATTCTGTTCCATTGGTCTACGTGTTGTCAAAGATCAGATGGTTTTAAGTGTGTGGCCTTATTTCCAAAGTTTCTATTCTATTTCATTGGCCTATGGGTCTGTTTTAATACTGGTATCATGCTCTTTTGGTTATTGTAGTCTTGAAGTATAGTTTGAAGTCAGGTGGTGTGGTGCCTCCAGCTTTGTTCTTTACACTTAGGATTGTATTGGCTATTCAGGCTCTTTTTTTGGTTCCATATGAATTCTAAGATAGTTTTTTCTAATTCTGTGAAGAATGTCGATGGTAGTTTAATGGGAATAGCTTCAAATCTATAAATTACTTTGGGCAGTATGGCCATTTTCATGATGTTGATTCTTCTTATTCATGAGCATGGAATAATTTTCCATTTGCCTGTGTCCTCTCTGATTTTTTGAGCAGTGGTTTATAGTTCTCTTTCAAGAGGTCCTTCACTTCTCTTGTAAATTATATTTCTAGGTATTTTCTTCTTTTTTTTAAGCAATTGTGAATGGGAGTTCTTTCATGATTTGGCTCTCTGCTTGCCTACTGTAGGTGTATAGAAATGCTAGAAATTTTTGCACATTGATTTTGCATCCTAAGATTTGCTGAAGTTTCTTATCAGCTTAAGAAGCTTTTGGTTTGTAGTTCTCCTTGAAGAGGTCCTTCACATCCCCTGTAAGTTGGATTCCTAGGTATTTTATTCTCTTTGAAGCAATTGTGAATGGGAGTTCACTCATGATTTGGCTCTCTGTTTGTCTGTTATTGGTGTATAAGAATGCTTGTGATTTTTGTACATTGATTTTGTATCCTGAGACTTTGCTGAAGTTGCTTATCAGCTTAAGGAGATTTTGGGCTGAGACAATGGGGTTTTCTAGATATACAATCATGTCATCTGCAAACAGGGACAATTTGACTTCCTCTTTTCCTAATTGAATACCCTTTATTTCCTTCTCCTGCCTAATTGCCCTGGCCAGAACTTCCAACACTATGTTGAATAGGAATGGTGAGAGAGGGCATCCCTGTCTTGTGCCAGTTTTCAAAGGGAATGCTTCCAGTTTTTGCCCATTCAGTATGATATTGGCTGTGGGTTTGTCATAGATAGCTCTTATTATTTTGAGATATGTCCCATCAATACCTAATTTATTGAGAGTTTTTAGCATGAAGGTTGTTGAATTTTGTCAAAGGCCTTTTCTGCATCTATTGAGATAATCATGTGGTTTTTGTCTTTGGTTCTGTTTATATGCTGGATTACATTTATTGATTTGCATATATTGAACCAGCCTTGCATCCCAGGGATGAAGCCCACTTGATCATGGTGGAAATAAAAGAGGATACAAACAAATGGAAGAACATTCCATGCTCATGGGTAGGAAGAATCAATATCATGAAAATGGCCATACTGCCCAAGGTAATTTATAGATTCAATGCCATCCCCATCAAGCAACCAATGACTTTCTTCACAGAATTGGAAAAAACTACTTTAAAGTTCATATGGAAGCAAAAAAGAGCCCGCATCGCCAAGTCAATCCTAAGCCAAAAGAACAAAGCTGGAGGCATCACACTACCTGACTTCAAACTATACTACAAGGCTACAGTAACCAAAACAGCATGGTACTGGTACCAAAACAGAGATATAGATCAATGGAACAGGACAGAGCCCTCAGAAATAACACCGCATATCTACAACTATCTGATCTTTGACAAACCTGAGAAAAACAAGCAATGGGGAAAGGATTCCTTATTTAATAAATGATGCTGGGAAAACTGGCTAGCCATATATAGAAAGCTGAAACTGGATCCCTTCCTTACACCTTATACAAAAATTAATTCAAGATGGATTAAAGACTTAAATGTTAGATCTAAAATCATAAAAACCCTAGAAGAAAACCTAGGCATTACCATTCAGGACATAGGCATGGGCAAGGACTTCATGTCTAAAACACCAAAAGCAATGGCAACAAAAGCCAAAATTGACAAATGGGATCTAATTAAACTAAAGAGCTTCTGCACAGCAAAAGAAATACCATCAGAGTGAACAGGCAACCTACAAAATGGGAGAAAATTTTCGCAACCTACTTATCCGACAAAGGGCTAATATCCAGAATCTACAATGAACTCAAACAAATTTACAAGAAAAAAACAAACAACCCCATCAAAAAGTGGGCAAAGGACAAGAACAGACACTTCTGAAAAGAAGACATTTATGCAGCCAAAAAACATATGAAAAAATGCTCACCATCACTGGCCATCAGAGAAATGCAAATCAAAACCACAATGAGATACCATCTCACACTAGTTAGAATGGCAATCATTAAAAAGTCAGGAAACAACAGGTGCTGGAGAGGATGTGGAGAAAAAGGAACTCTTTTACACTGTTGGTGGGACTGTAAACTAGTTCAACCATTGTGGAAGTCAGTGTGGCGATTCCTCAGGGATCTAGAACTAGAAATACCATTTGACCCAGCCATCCCGTTACTGGGCATATACCCAAAGGACTATAAATCATGCTGCTATAAAGACACATGCACACGTATGTTTATTGTGGCACTATTCACAATAGCAAAGACTTGGAATCAACCCAAATGTCCAACAGTGATAGACTGGATTAAGAAAACGTGGCACATATACACCATGGAATACTATGCAGCCATAAAAAATGATGAGTTCATGTCCTTTGTAGGAACATGGATGAAGCTGGAAACCATCATTCTCAGCAAACTATCACAAGGACAAAAAACCAAACACAACATGTTATCACTCATAGGTGGGAATTGAACAATGAGAACAAATGGACACATGAAGGGGAACATCACACTCTGGGGACTGTTGTGGGGTGGGGGGAGGGGTGAGGGATAGCATTAGGATGTATACCTAATGCTAAATGACGAGTTAATGGGTGCAGCACACCAGCATGGCACATGTATACATGTGTAACTAACCTGCACATTGTGCACACGTACCCTAAAACTTAAAGTATAATAATACGAATAAAAAAAAATAAAGATAGAAAGTAGACTATAAAAAAAAAAAACGAAGCTTTTGGGCTGAGATGATAGGGTTTTCTAGATATAGGATCATGTTATTTGCAAACAAAGATGGTTTGACTTCCTCTCTTCCTGTTTAGAAGCCCTTTATTTCTTTCTCTTGCCTGATTTCCCTGTCCAGGACTTCCAATACTATGCTGAATAGGAGTGGTGAAAGAGGGCATCCCTGTCTTTTGCCAGTTTTCAAGGTGAATGTTCCCAGCTTTTGCCCATTCAGTATGATATTGGCTGTGGGTTTGCCATGTATGGCTCTTATTATTTTAAGGCATGTTCCTTCAATACCTAGTTTATTGAGTTTTTAACATGAAAGGATGTTGAATTTTTTTGAAGGCCATTTCTGCATCTATTGAGATAATCATGTGGTTAGTTTGTAGTTCTGTTTATGTGATTAATCATGTTTATTTATTTATGAATGTTGAACTAACCTTGCATCCTGGGATAAATACTATTTGATCATGGTGGATAGGCTTTTTGATGTGCTGCTGGATTTGGTTTTCTAGTATTTTGTTGAGGATGTTTGCATTGATATTCATCATGGACACTGGCTTGAAGTTTTCTTTTTTTGTTGTGTCCCTGCTAGGTATGGTGTCAGAATGATGATGGCCTCATAGAATGAATTGGGTAGGAGTCCTTCCTTCCCAATTTTCTGGAATAGTTTCAGTATAAATGGTAATGGTAATATACATCTGGTAGTTTCAAAAACAATAAGTCGCTATAGGTTACTTTGCATTTCATAAGATTTTATATAAATGGAATCATAGAACATGCACTATATTTGTCTGACTTCACTTAGCTTTTTTTTTTAGTTTAATCCATTTTGTGCATATCAGTTCTTCATTTCCATTGTTGAATGGCATTCTATTGTATGGACATACCACCGTTTTTTATCCATTCCCCTGTGGATGGGTAATTAGCTTGTTTTCAGTGGTACTTTGAACTCAGGGAGGGGTGGAAGGGAAAGAAGCGGTACAGGGGTAAAGGGGGTGAAAAGAGAGAAGGAAGGAATTTTAAAAAGGCATTAGATAACTCTCAAGGGTGATAGATACATTAAACTATCTTGATTTTAGTGATGCATGGATGCATACATTTGTCACAACTGGTTAAACTGTGCACTTTAAATATGTGTAGTGTATTATATCTCAACAAACTGTTAACAGTTAATGATAAGTCTAATTTATTTTTCATCCTCCTAATAAGAATCCTTAAGCTCCCATTTTTAGAAAAGTTCTAGACAGATATTATCTCATACATAACAGGATCAATTTTTTTTAGAGTTTATAATTATTTCTTATTTCATTCAAAAAATGAAAATTATATTCATAGTTTTTGTAAATTATACCTTTCTGTAAGCAAAGTATAATTTAACATGTAAGCTATTCTTACGGGATGAACTGCTAAAACATCCAGTTTACATTTCTCTCTCTGCCACCTATCACACTTTGACATTTCTGCTTTCTACATAATGTCCTCAGGCAATTAATTTTCTCCGTTTTCATACAGGCTGTTTGTCCTGGTGGTAAATTTTATTTTTGCTTTATGGTGGTGGTAATGAATGTTTAATTTCATGATGCAAATACCACTGAATGTCATTCAAATACTTTTTTAAAATATAGATTTCATGATTCATTACAGAGAGATTAAAATATTGCTAAAGTTATAACAACTGCTTCAGTGGGTAAGACAGTTAATCGATACCCTCTAGTCATAACCTTAAAAGTTGATGAGTTATTCAGAATTTAGTTGATAGCAAACTCAATAATTTGTGGGCTATTTCTTACACTCTATCAGGGTTTATGAGGCCTTAAAAGCATTCAGATGGCAATTTTGTGTTATTAAAGATAATTTCTTGCACCTTATGGCCACTTATCAGTTGCTGCTGAGCTAATCAACAATCATATTGAAATTAATCATATTGTCCTTGTTTGCATATTTCATAGATTCATAATGAATGCTGGAAATTAAATATATTGACAAATATTTATTTTATAATTTCAAAATTTACTTTTCTTAAATATATGTGATAATTTTGTCTTTTATATGAATACTTTACATAGCTAGTTTTTAATTTATGTTGTTCTTGAAGACTTGTTTCTATTTAGTTTGGGTATTTGTTTTAGATTCTCTGTTTAGGAAACATTTTTATTTCCTAAATCGAATGTATAACTTTAAAAATTCATTCGTATGAAGAAAATGCAACACAGGCAGAACTCGGAGATATCATTGGTTCAGTTGCAGATCACTGAAAATAAAGCAAACATTGCAATGAAGCAAGTCACATGTATTTGTTGGTTTCCTGTGCACATAAAAGTTCTATTTACAGTATCCTATAGTCTATTATGTGTGCAATAGCATTACTTCCATAAAGCAAGGTACCTGGCATAATTTTAAAATATTTTATTGCTAAAAAATGCTAACAATCATCTGAGCCTTCAGCGAGTAAAAATCTTTTTGCTGAGGGAGGGTCTTCTTGCCTTGATGTTGATTTCTGCTGACTGATCAGGGTGGTGATTGCCAAAGGTTGGGGTATCTGTGGCAATTTCTTAAAATTAGATAATAATACAGTTGACAATTTTGATTTACTCTTCCTTTCATGAAAAGTTCCTCTGGAGCATGCAGTGCTGTTTGATAGCAGTTTGCCCACAGTAGAACTTCTTTCGAATTTGGAGTGAAACCTCTCAAAACCTGCAGCTGCGTTATCAACTAAGTTTATGTAATATTCTAAATTATTTGTTGTCATTTGAACAATGTTCATAGCACCTTCACCAGAAGTAGATTCATTTCAGGCATGTCAAGAAACCACTTTCTTTGCTCATTCATAAGAAGCAACTCCTTGTCTGTTAAAATTTTATTAAGAAATCACAATAATTCAGTCATATCTTCAGGCCCCTATTTTAATTCTAGTTTTCTTGCTTTTTTTTTTTTTTTAAGACGGAGTTTTGCTCTTGTTGCCCAGGCTGGAGTGAAATGGCACGATCTCGGCTCACTGCAGCCTCTGCTTCCCAGGTTCAAGTGATTATCCTGCCTCAGCCTACTGAGTAGCTGGGATTACAGGTGTGCGCCACTATGCCCGGCTAATTTTTGTATTTTTAGTAAAGATAGGGTTTCGTCACCGCGCCTGGCTGTTTTCTTGCTATTAAAACCATATCTGCAGTGATTTCCTCCACTGAAGTTTTGAACCCCTCAAAGTCGTTTATGAGGGCTGGAAACAACTTATTTAAACTTCTGTTAATATTGATATTTCAACCTCTTTCTATGAAACATGAATATTCTTAATGGCATCTAGAATAATTAATTCTTTGGAGAAGGTGTTCAATTTACCTTTCCCGGATCCATCAAAGAAATCACTATCTATGGCATTATAAATTTATGAAATGTATTTCATTAAATAGTAGGGCTTGATAGTTGAAATTACATAGGCTACAGAGTGGATGTTGTGTTAGCAAGCATAAAAACATTAATTTTAAGAAAGAAAAAAATTTATCTGAGGAATTCCAACCATTTGGAATTATCAGTCCCAGAGAGAAATGGGAATGAGGCAGCAGTCACAATCTGCTTCCCCGCTTGAAGCTGCTTGCTGTATGCACTCTAGACTGTCACCACAAATAGCTGTAAATTAACCTAAGAATGCCACATGCTGGACACTGTGGCCCATACACTCTAGTTCACAATGTATAGATAATCACTAATCATTGTCATTTCTGTAAACCGATGAGGATTCCTAAAAAATAACTTTGTATCAGCCCGCTCATTGTCTTTTTTGCCTCTAAAAACCTGCTTGTAACAAAGGCCAAATGGGGCTCATACCACAAGGTTACTTGGATCGAGGCTTCCGAGCAGCTGCCTCATCTTGGTTCAAGTAAACTACCTAAAATTATATTTTGTGCCTTGGCTTCTTCTTTTAGGTCAACAGTCTCCTTATACATCTTCATCAGAGCTCTTGGGTGAATAGGTACATTGTCAATGGGCAGAAACACTTTGAAATTAATCTTTTTTTTTCTGAGTAATAGGGCTCAACAGTGGGCTTAAAGTATTCAGTAAGCCATGATGTAAAATGTTGTGTTGTCTTCCATGCTTTGTTGTTGCATTTATAGAGCACAGTCAGAATAGATTTAGCATAATTATCAAGAGTCTGGGATTTTCTGAATGGTAAATGAATGCTGGCTTCAACTTAAAGTCACCAGCCACATTATCCCCTGTTAGGAATTCTTCTCTTTAGCTATGAAAGTTGTATATGGTATCTTCTTCCAATAGAAGCCTCTTTCATCTGCCATTGAAAACCGGTTGCCTGGTATAGCCACCTTCATCAGTGATCTTAGCTAGATATTCTGGATCACTTGCTGCAGTTTCTACATCATCACCTTGTAACTTTAATGTTATAGAGATGGCTTCTTTCTTTAAACCTCATGAACTACCCTCTCCTAGCTTCAATCTTTTCTTCTACAGCTTCCTCACCTCTCCTAGCTTTCACAGAATTAAAGAGAGTTAAGGCCTTGCTCTGGATTAGGCTTTTGCTTAAGGGAATGTTGTGACTGATTTGATCTTCTCTTTAGTCCACTCAAACTTTCTCCATATTAGCAATAAAGCTGTTTTGCTTTTTCATCATTCGTGTGTTCACTGGAGTAGCACTGTTAATTTTCTTTGAAAACTTTTCCTTTGCATTCAGAACTTTGCTAACTGTTTGATTCAAGTGGCCACGCTTTCAGCATATCTCAGCTTTTGCCATGCCTTCCTGACTAAGCTTAATAATTTCTAGCTTTTGCTTTGAAGTGAGAGAACTATGACTTTCCTATTTCTTAAACACTTAGAGGTCATTGCAGGATTAAAAATCGACGTAATTTCAATATTATTGTGTCTCAGGGAATAGGGAGGGCCAAGGAGAAGGAGAGAGATAGGGGAACTGCTGCTCAGTGAAGCAGTCAGAACACTTACAACATTTATTGGTTAAGTTCACAGTTCTATATGAACATGGTTCTTGGTGCCTCCAAACAATTACAATATAAACATCAAAGATCACTGATCATGGATCAGCATAACAAATAGAATAATAATGAAAGGGTTTGAAATATTGTAAGAATTACCGAAGTGTAACACAGAGACAAGAAGTGAGCACAGGCTGTCGGGAGAATGGCACATGTAGACTTGTTTGATGCGGCATTGCCACAAACCTTCAATTTGTCAATTTGTAAAAAAAAAGAAAAAAAATGCAGTATCTGAGAAACACAGTAAAATGAAACACAATCAAATGACTTTCCCAACCCACACAAGCAAATGTGGTATAAGTCCTGTTTTCAGGTAGGAGATCAAGGAGACTTCTGGTCTATATCTGGCCTTACTACCAGCTAGAAGTGATGACTTCCTTCATTCACAATTTTCCTACCTCTAAAAGAGGGGTTTGGTTAATTGACAAGTTTCTTTTGAACTCTAACACAGTGTCATTAACTTTTGTTACTTTGGAACAAGATCCTTACATGTCAAAGTTATGTTTGAGGAGAAAAAGAAGTCAGTTAATATAATATTTTTGACAATAAAATATGAAAGTGAGACAAGAATTCGAGGGAAAGGAATCTGAATATTCAGGCTCACTAGTTTCCACAATGATTTACTCAGTAGAAAAAATGAATACTCACTTGCTTCTCCAAACTTTGCCACTGCAGACAAAGTCCAAGACACAAGAAGAGATTACAGTAAATTTTATGTCTCACATTAATATCTCCCACATTTCTTTAATCTAATAATTTGTGCCAAAAGACATCTGATTTACAATTATAGTTTGAATGTGTGAAAACCACTTGTTCAGACTGTTTTTACTTTATTTTGGTTTTCTGCATGGTTTGTTTGTTTGGAGCTCCCTTAGTTTCTACTCATTCAAGATAAGTGACTAAAATGTAATGATTTTACTGATGTACTTTCCCATTTGCAATCGACTGGTGAGAAAGAATATGATCCATCAAAATTTGTACAAAAGAAAATATATTCTCTTTCATTTAAATGAGTTTCTATGTTAGAAACAAAAGAAAAAGATTTGGAAACTGAGGGGGTCAATTCCAACCACTAAGGGCTAAAGTTAATTCCCTGCCAAGTGTTTTGCTTTCAAATGTAGAGCCCCACATAGCAACATTCCAAGTCTAGTGTTAAAGATTAAGCCAATCTCTAAAAAAATCAAAGGACTCTGATATTTGTGCTCTTGCAAATAAAATGCTGAGAGTAAATTTGGAATTACATTCCAAGACAGTCATCAAGGTTGACAGAATATATCAGATATTGATGGAAAGATTTAGATTAGAAAGGCAGGGGCTAGAAAAGTGGTTTGCCTGTGGAGGTCCCCGTGTTGTTTCCTCAGGGAGATTACATTGCAAAGGGCTCTTATTATTTTCAAAGTGAGCAGAAGAAAAATGATTTTCTCAGTTCCCCAAAAATGCAACACAACTGCTATATCATATTACTCCAGGCTCATGTAGGTGAACAAGTATTTTGTTTTCTTTTTCTAAACATCTTTTTAAAATCAAGAACAGATTACTATTGCAGAAGGAGTGAAAGTCATTTATTTCAAAACCAGGTGGCTGAAAGAGGGTTTACCAGGAACTATTCCTCAGACACGAACAAAGTTGTTTGCCCTTTTATATACAAAAGAAGATTGTAAAAAAAAAAAGTAACACTTAAAAGCAATGCAAATACAGGGGAAAATAAAATCTGAAAGTATTCATACTTAAGTGTTTAGTTTTGGCTACATGCATTTGGCCACATGACAGAAATTGCTTTATTTCTTTCTGTTTTCACCTTTTTTTCTGCTAATATGGGGCTAGTTCTTATAAAATACTATCATATAAATCTTACTATATCAAACAAGCAAAGACTTTTTCTATACAAAATAAAAAAGGTGTTATATCTTCTTATTCACCCAAAGCCTAACTTTTAGGTAGGTCAGAGCAAACTTGCTTTTAAAAATGCATCCATTTTATTTTATTTTTTTAGATAGAATAGGAATTAGTCTTTTAGCTATACTGTGTATAATATTTCTAAGATAGTCTCATTTGTGTTAGGGATAATTTGTTTTATAAATACTTTCTTTTTATTTGTGCATAAATGGTGTTCTTATAATTTCTATTTACAAAATTATTTTATCACTAATAAAATTGATAATATGTACATATTCTTTCTGATTGTTAATTTTTCATATTTTTCTTCCTAAGAGTTAACTTTTCACTATATAAGTATCAACTTCAAATGGTCAGTTTTTCCTGTCAATATCTGTGTGCAGCCATAATAGATTTTAATATAAGAACGTATTATTCTACATGACTTCCACAGTTTTGGATGCACTAAGTCTTATATAAGGACTAACTTTTTAAAATTGTGTCTTTTTTTTTTCTTTTTTTCTTATTGAGACAGGGTCTCAGTCTGTTGCTGGAATGCAGTCAGTAGTCTGAGGCTGGAGTGCAGTGGTGTGATTTTGGCTCACTGCAACCTCCGTCTCCAGGATTCACGCGATTTTCATGCTTCAGCTTCCCAAGTAGCTGGGATTACAGGCAGAAGCCACCACATCTGGCTAATTTGTGTATTTTTAGTAAGACAGGTTTTCACCATGTTGGCCAGGCTTGTCTCTAACTCCCAACCTCAGTTGATCCACCTGCCTCGTCCTTTCAAAGTGCGGGGATTACAAGCATGAGCCACCGCGCCCGACCAGATCCTGTCTTTTCAATACGTCGTTTTAGTAGCTTACTTTGAGACTTGAAGACGAACTTTCTCTCACTTTCACTATTTACTGGACTAACTGTTTTATAAATGGGTAAGTCTAAGGTACACAGAAAAGGTTCAGAGTTACTATGGCACAGGGGTGTTCTCTCTGTTCCCACTGTTTTATAGGAACAGTGAAACTTCATGGTCACTCCATGCTTTTCCTGCTTCTCTGGAAGAATGTTTACTTCAAGAAATATTTTGTATCTTCTATGCGTAAGACTTCTGTGTTAGGTACTATATCCAAACTACATTTTTCCTTCAAAGTCCAAATCAAGTTTATAGCTTCAGCCATGTGTTTAATGGACTCCTTGTCCCAAACTCTCTTTCACTTTCTGAAATCGATCTGTTCACATATATGGTAAGCTGTAATTACATTTGTGTATCATTCTCTAATTGCTATCTTTAAATATGCTTTATTTTGCTCATTATTTTGTAAAATTGAGAAGATTCTTTCTGCTACTTATTTTGTATCCCTTAGAGTCCATAATTCAATAATGGATACTTATCATTGATCAATACTTGTCAGTCTAAGTCATTAGCTAAGTCACTGTTGACTTAAGACCTGTCTAAGCCAAGTCACTGTTAAATCCACATAAATATATTAAAATTTTCTCCCAGATTTTCTGGAACAGTCAAATATTCTGTCTAGTTGCCCATAGGAATATACACGTTTTTGTCAAAATGTACATTTCAATTAGTTTTGGCAAATATGTTAATTATAATATGGATATTAAATTGGTATCTAAGTTCATACATAACTTGTGGGTTGTTCCAAATATAGCTCTCTAGAGTAACTTGAGTCACTTCCTAAAAATGATAAAAGGTGGATAGAATAACTTGCATAAAGATAACACAGAGTGATAGAAACAACAGAAATCAGTGATCAAATCCATTTCTGTAGTAAAGGGAGAGAATTATGAGTATTCCTTAAATAAAAGAGAAACATATGCACTAAATTATTATTAATAAATAGAAAGCATGAAATCACATGAACACGAAACTGATAAAGAACTTAACAAGAGAAAGAACTGACATTTAAAGTTAACTTACGCTATCATAAATACTACAGACTACATTGTTAACCATTTTTTCTTCTCTAAGAGAAGGCTGAGGGGAAATAACCTGTGATCCTACACATGCCATTTATTCTTTTTCTAACTGTTGCATAATCTATAAGATGAATCTAGAACCTGGATTCCATAAGCTGCTGGACTTGGTTTGCAGATTTCTGAATTATTCATCAGATGAAAATCTAGAAATGTATTTAAATTAGATCAGATCAGAGGACATTGCTTTGATTAAAATATGTGTGTGTGAGATTGCAGTCCTACCACTCCATAAGTTTGTCCATAGTACTCCACAACATGTCTGCACAGTGTCAATGCTCAAGTAGGCCATCTCTAAGGGCTCCTTACATCACAAACTAAATGATTCCATCATTCTATTCTGATTTAATTTGGAGCCGGCCTCCATATGTCTAATCTTAGACCAGACCAGCCTTTGCATGTTAGAGAGCCAAGAAGCTGTTTGCCTGTTTACTGGTGTTTGCTTGGTTCCACAGTGACATCAGCTTATAAAAAGGCTAACTCTATAAAAGACTGAAATTAAGGACCCACAAAAAGATTTTCCAGCGCTTGTCATTTCTGCTGGATTCTGAATGACTCATGCCTCCCGACAAGATCCTGAATTTGGAAGCTGTATATTCAAATGCCAGAAGGATTTAGACGTGAATGTGCAGACAGACGCATAAATAAAATGACTGTCACTGACTTCATATTTTTCTTCATAAAATGAGTGCTGTGATTCTGGCTAATCTTGTCACAGCCATTGTGCCATAAAAGAAGGTATTATTTGAAAATTAAAATCATTCAACTTTTTATACACATCTAAGATTTGCTCTACCTGAACTTGTGGATGTACTTAGGAATGCAGTATTTGAAGCTAAGGGGAAAAATGTTTAGGCACATTGGAAAGAAATCTACAGCATTTCTCCCTGAGAGAAAGAACAAATAATTTTTAAAAGAAAATGATTTTTGCAGACTTTTTAATATCAGTATTTATCCTTACTTTTCTCCTGCATAGATGAACAGACCAAATTCGATTACTTCTTTGGCGTTTTTAGGATCTTTTTTTTTACTCTCTAGTTTAATTTAAATATAATTACCATAAAATGAATACCATTTAGGTCACTTATCTAATGAACAACATACAAATGTTTAATTTCTCCAGGATCTGGCTTCGGTACACTTTTTGGTCTGTTCCTCAGGGTGCTCCCATACATAGCTTATGTTCCTGTCAAGGTTTATGACTCATTATTACTATTAATACCCATTTTTTTTCTCCACTGCACCTTGTTCTAACTCTTCTTCCAGGAATGCTATCCTCCTATTGCCACATGTTTATATTTTAGCCAACATGAAAGGCTCAACTTATTAGCCTTCTCCGGTCACTTTTGCCAAAACTAATTTTTACCAGACATGAGCCCCCATTGTATTTTATTCTTTACATATAACCTGTATCAATTTCTTAATTTCTTCCTTGCATTTATGCCTTGTCTTTAGTATAAATTTATTGAAAACACAGATAATGCATTCATTCCAGTATCTTGCTAGAATTTAACAAATTTTCTGGTGCAGAGTAGACATGCAATGCACTCATATATGTTTTTGAAAAAATATCTTCCCCTAAGAAATGGGCAAAGTAACTCTAGATGTAACCAAAGTACAATCCTGTGCAGAAGCAGATGATTGGCGCTCAAATCAGAGTATATGAATCAGCAATAAAAACATTCCATTCAATTCTAATAATTTCCAGAGAATAATAATTTTCCATAACCATTGCACAGCTCTATACTACCTACTGTTACAGTAATGGAGAGAAGAAACTCAGCTCCTTTTTGAGTTCTCTGGAGTAATGGGCAAGTTTATTTTGTACAAGGTCATCAAGAAAAAGTGAACTTAATTGTTCTTCTTTTATGTAATTTCAAAATTGTGCTTCTGATAATTAATTAGAAAACACATTCCCTCAAGAGTGTTGGTCAACAGCAAGAGGGAAATATTAATGGGGTTTTTATTATCATGGGATTATCAAGGACAGTAGCTACAACTGTGTTAGTCTTCCCTCTCCATGTTTTGATATATATTGAACTAAATTTTTCTATTGTCACATATCTTTTTATGAACAGGAAAATATGCTGTATTAGCAGAATTTTGATTGCTGAAAA
Organism: Homo sapiens; assembly: GCF_000001405.40. Lineage (NCBI taxonomy): Eukaryota > Metazoa > Chordata > Mammalia > Primates > Hominidae > Homo > Homo sapiens. Next base: position 89,182,300 of record NC_000007.14, on the reverse strand, counting down.
GGTCAAATTCAAATTAGCTTAGTCTTCGGAATAAGTGCTTTAACATATCTCTAAGTGTCTTTTACATGGCATCTCAATTTTAGACGCATAAATTATATCCACAATACTATGCTTCTTGAAAACAGAATGAATAAAAATTAGTGATTTAATATCTATGATTAGGTAGCATACCTCTTTGTAATAGCACTTTAAAGAAAGGGTAATTTCCTATTTGATACTGTTTGAATTAAATGTCATCTGCTCAATGTTAATTTGCTGCAGTTTCCATTTCAATTAGTTGTCAATTCAGAAAGATTACAGGTTGAAATATTAAAGCATTCTATTGGTCTGGTTCAAAATAGAGAATAAACTGGTATATAAAGGGTCTCTTAGGATGTTGCTCTTAGCACACAAATTTTTTAAAGTGCATATTTTATTACAACATAAATTATACACAATAAGGGAACAAATCATAAGATCAGTGAGTTTTCATGAAGTAAACACATCCTTATAGCCAGCAACCCGATCAATAGAACTTTAAGGGAGTAGGCAAAACAAGATGGCTAAATAGAATCCTTTAGTGATTTTTAACCCCTATAGGAATAGCAAATTGAGCAACTATCCTCACAAAAAATAACTTCATAAGAATTGAAAACAAGGTGAGCAATCACAGTACCTGGTTTTAACATGATATCAAGGAAAGAGCCACTGAAGAAAGACAGTCTTGAATTGTGGAGACCACCCCTCCCCCATTCCGCAGAAGTGTCTGCATGGCACGAAGAAATAATCTGTGTGCTTGGGGAAGGGAGACTGCAGGGACCGTGGGACATTGCATTGGAACTCAGTGCTGCTCTATTATAGCGCAAGCAACACAAGGCATAATTTGGCCTGCACTCATGGTGGCAGCATTTAGACTAGCCCTAGCCAGAGAGGAATTGTCCATCCCAGAAGTCAGAACATAAGTTATGGCTAGCCCCGTCAACATGGGCTAAAGTGCGCTGGGGTCCTACGTAAATTTGAAAGAATGTCTAAGCCACAAGGAATGCAATTCCTAGGCAAGTCCTGGTGCCATGCTGGGCTTGCAGTCAGTGGACTTGGGGTTCACACAACCCAGTGAGACACCAACTGGGGCAGCCAAGGGAGTGCTTATGTTACCCCATCCCCAACCCTAGATAGTGCAGCTCACAGTTTAGGAAGAGACTCTTTCCTTCCACTTGAGGAAAAGATAGGGGAGAATAAGGAGGACATTACCTTTCAACTTGGATACTAGCTCAGCCACAGTAGAGTAGGGTACCAGGCAGAGTTTTAAGGCCCCCATTTCAGACCAATACCCACAGAGGGAGCATTCAGGCCAGCACTAGCCAGAGGGTGACTCCCCATCTCACTTGTCAGAACCTGAGTTCCAGTTAGCCTCATTACCACAGGCTAAAGCACTCTGGTGTCCTAAATAAACACAAAAGGCATTCTAGATCACAAGGAATGCAATTCCTGGGCAAGTCTTGGTGCTGTCCTCTGTTCACAGGGCACATGACCTAGTGAGACACCAGCCAGGGCAGCCAGGAGAGTGCTTGCATCACCCTTTCCCTAACCCCAGGCAGTGCAGCTAACATTTCCAGGAGAGACTATTTTCTTCCACTTGAGCAGAGGAAGGAGAGGAGTAAAGAAGTCTTTGTCATACAACTTGGATAACAGCTTAGCTACAGTAAAATAAAGCACCAAGCAGAGTCCTGAAACCCCCATTGTAGGCTTAGCTCTTGGACAACATTTCTAGACACACCTTGAGCCAGGAGGGAGCCCATTGCCTTGAAAGAAAGGACCCAGTTCTTTCTTGGGTCTTGAATATGCATTATCAGGATTCAGGCAGTACCCACCATTGGCCTGGGGTGGGCGTGAACATGGGGCAAGACTCACTCTGCTTGATGAAAGGAAACAGAAGAGTAAAAAGGACTTAGTCTTTCAATTTGGGTATAAGTTCAGCTGCAGCAAACTAAAGCACCAAGTAAATTCCTAATGTTCCTGACTTCAGGCCCTAGCTATCAGACAGCATTTCTAGACCAACCCTGGGCCAGAAAGGAACCTGTTGCCCTGCAGAGAAAGACACAACCCTGGCTGGCTTTACCATCTGCTATCTAAAGAGCCCTTGGACCTTGAATAAATCTCAATGGTAGCTAAGCAATAGTCAACACAGGCTTTGGGTGAGACTCAGTACTGTGCTGACGTCAAGTCTGGCCCAGCATGGTCCCAGTGTGGTGGACACAGGGACTCCTGTTTCACTCCTCCCCAAACTCCAGGCAGGATAGCATGGAGAAAGAGACTCAGTTAGTTTAGGAAAAGGTAAGGGAAGAGGACAAGAGACTCTGAATGATAATCTGGGTAATTCTCCAGGATAGTAGCCAAGATGACCAGGGAAGTATCTCTACAAGTCAATAAGAGTCACAGTGTTACTGGGCTTGGGGCACCCTCTAATGCAGATGTGGCTGCAGAGACCAAACTTAGATCACAACACACAATTCCCTTTGAATATTTGGAAAGTCTTCTAAAGAAACACGTGTACAAACAAGCCCAGACTGTGATGAGGACAACAAATACATAAGTCGTCAATGCCCACACATTGATGAACACCCACAAGCATCAAGATCATCCAGAAAATCATGACCTCACAAAACAAACCAAGTAAGGCACCAGTGACTAATCCTGGAGTGTCAGAAATATGTGACCTTTCAGGCAGATAAGTTAAAATAGCTGTTTTAAGAAAGTTAAACAAAATTCAAGATACCACAGATTAGGAATTAATTATATGAGATAAATTTAACAGAAAGATTTAAATACTTTTAAAAAATCAACCAAATTCTGGAGCTGAAAAATTTAATTGCTATACTGAAGAATGCATCAGAGTCTCTCAATAGCAGATTTTTTTTTTAACAGAAGAAAGAAATAGTGAGCTTAAAGACAGTCGGAGGAGACAAAAAAAGAATATAAAAGAATTCAACATGCCTACGAATGTAGGAAGTAGCCTCAAAAGGGCAAATCTAAGTTATTGGCCTTACAGTGGAAGTAGAGAGATTGGAGTAGAAAGTTTATTCAAAGAGATAATAACAGAGAACTTCTCAAACCTAGAGAAAGATATCAATATCCAAGTACAAGAAGGTTATTAAATACCATGCAGATTTAACCCAAATAAAACTACCTCAAAACATTTAGTAATCAAGCTCCCAAAGGCCAAGGATAAAGAAAGAATCCTAAAAGTGACAAAAGAAACAAATACATACAAAGAAGTTCCAAAATATCTGACAACAGACTTATCAATAGAAACCTTACAGGTTAGGAGAGTGGCATGACATATTTTAAATGCTGAAGGAAAAAATATTTTCTCTTAGAATCAATTGTTCCAGAAAAATATCCTTCAAACATGAAGGAGAGATAAAGACTTTCCCAGACGAACAAAAGGTGAAGGATTTTATAAACAGGAGACCTGTTCTGCAGGAAATGCTAAAGAGAGCTATTCAATATGAAAGAAACAGATGTTAATAAGCAATAAGAAATCTTTTAAATGCAAAAAGCTCACTGGGAATAGTAAGCACAAAGAAAAATATGAATATTATAACACCGTAATTGTGGTATCTAAACTTCTCATATCTTGAGTAGAAAGACTTAAAGATGAAATGATCAAAAATAATAACTGTGACAACTTTTCAAGATATAAACAGTATAATAAGACACAAAAAGAAACAAAAGTCAAAAAGTGGAAAGATGAAGTTAAAGTGTAGAGTTTTTATTAGTTTTCACTTTGCATGTTTTATTGTTTGTTTTTGCAATCAGTGTCACCATCAGTTTAAAATGATGGGTTATAAGAAGTAATTTGCAAGCTTCATAGTCCTCTCAAATTTTAAAAACTACAACAGATACACAAAAAATAAAAATCAAGAAATTAAAATATAGCACTATAAAAAATAAATTTTATAAGAAGGAAGGAAGAAAGGAAGGAAAAGAAACCACAAAACCACCAGAAAAAAAAAATGGCAGGAGTAAATCCTTGCTTATCGATAATAACCTCAAATGTAAATGGATGAAACTACCCAATCAAAAGACATAGAGTATGTAAATGGATGAAATGCAATCCCAACAATCTGCTGCCTACAAGAAATATACTTCACCTATAGAGACACACAAAGACTAAAAATGAAAGAATAGAAAAAGATACTTCATGCAAATAGAAGCCACAAAGCAGGAGCAGCTATATTTATAGCAAATAAAATAAATTTCAAGACAACAAACAAAAAAGGAGACAAAAATGTCATTAAATATTGATAAAGGGGTCAATTCATCAAGAGGATATAGTAATTATAAACATAAAGCAAATATTTGTTTTTTGTTCTTTTTTTTTTTTGAGACAGAGTCTCGCTCTGTCACCCAGGCTGGAGTGCAGTGGCGCTGTGTCGGCTCACTGTAAGCTCTGCCTCCCAGGTTCATGCCATTCTCTTGACCTCGTGATCCGCCCGCCTTGGCCTCCAAAAGTGCTGGGATTACAGGCGTGAGCAACGCACCTGGCCAATATAAAGCAAATATTATTAGAGCCAAAGAGAGAGACCTCAACACAATAATAGCTGGAGAATTCAACACCCCATTTTCATCATTGAACAGATCACCTAGACAGATAATCAACAAAGAAACCTAAGACTTATTCTGCAGTATTGACCAAATGGACCTAATAGATGTCTATATAACATGTCATTCAATGGCTGCAGAATACACATTGTCCTCAGCACATGTAAAATTCTTAAGGATATAACATATTTGGCCACAAAACGAGCATTAAAACATTCGAAAAAATGGAAATCACATCAAGTATCTAATCACAAGGGAATAAAACTACAAATCAGTAACAAGAGGAACTTCAGAAACTATACAAACGCATGGTAATTGAACAATATGCTTCTAAAAGACCAGTGAGCCAATGAAGAAATTAAGAAGAAAAATTTTTAAAGTGTCTTAAATGAAAATGAAAACACAACACACCAATACCTGTGAGATACAGCTAAGGTAGTACTAAGAGGAAAGTTTATGTTTTAGCTATAAGTGCTTATGTCAAAAAAGAAGATAAACTTCAAATAAACAACCTAATGATGCATCTTAAATAACTAAAAAAGCAAAAGCAAACTATTCCCAAAATTAGTAGAGAAAATATAAATCAGAGCAGAAATAAATTCGAACAAAAAATACAAAATATCAATGAAATGAAGTTTCTTCTTGAAAAGATAAGCAAAATAAACAAAAGCTTAGCCAGACTAACAAAAAAAGGAGAAGACTGAAGTAAATAAAATCAGACAGGAAAAAGGAGATATTACAACTAATGCCACAGAAATTCAAATAATCATTACAGACTACTATGAGCAACTATATGCCAGTTAATTTGAAAACCTAGAAGAAATGGCCAAATTCTACATACATACAACCTACCAAGATTGAACCATGAAGATATTCAAAACCTGAGAAGATGAATAACAAATAATGAGATCAAGGCTGTAATAAAAAGTCTCCCACCAAGGAAAAACTTGGGATCATATAACTTCACAGCTGAATTACACCAAACTTTTAAAGAACTAATACCAATCCTACTCAAACTATTCCAAAAAATAGAGAAAAATGAAATACTTCCAAACTTGTTCAGTGAGGCTAGTATTACCCTAATACCAAAACCAGGCAAGGAAACATGAAAAAAAAAAAAAAAAAGAAAGAAAGAAAGAAAGAAAAAAAAGAAAAGAAAGAAAACCACAGGCCAATATTTCTGATAAACACTGATGCAAAAATCCTCAAAAAAATATTTTTTAAAAATAAATTCAACAACACATTAAAAAGATCATTCATCATGACCAAGTGAGATTTATTCCAATCACGCAAAGATGGTTTAACATATGCAAGTCAGTCAATGTGCTACATCATATCAACAGAATGAAAAACACAATCATATGATCACTTCAACTGATACTGACAAGACATTTCATAAAATTCAACCTCTCTTCATGATTAAAAACAAATCCCTCAAAAAACTGGGTATGGAATGAACATACCTCTACACAATAAAAGCTGTATATGACAGACCCATATACAGACCATACACCCATATACCATGATACCCATTCATGGTATCATGAATGGGGAGAAACTGAAAGCCTTTCCTCTAAGATCTAGAGCACAACATGGAGGCTCACTTTCAGCACTGTTATTCAACATCATACTGGAAGTCCTAATTAGAGCAATTAGACATGAGAAAGAAATTGAGAGCCTCCAAACTTGATAGGAAGTCAAATTATCCTTGTTTTCAGATGATATGATCTTATATTTGGGAAAAATCTAAGTAATCTACCAGAAACTATTAGAACTAATCAACAAATTCATTAAAGATGCTGGATACAAAGTCATTATAGAAAAATTGGTAGCATTTAAATGTGAACAATATGAAAAAGAAATCAAGAAAGTAATCTAATTTACAAAAGCTATAAACAAAATAAAATACCTAGGAATACATTTAACCAAATAAGTGAAAGATTGCTACAATAAAAATTATAAAATATTGATGAAAAATATTGAAAAGGACACAGAAAGTGAAAAGATATTTTATGCTCATGGATTGGAAGAGTTAATATTGTTAAAATGTGCATACTACCAAAAGCAATCTACACATTGAATGCATCCCTGCCAAAATACCAATGAACTTCTTCACAGAAATAGCAACAGTCATCCTAAAATGTATATGGAATCACAGAGCTAGAATAGCCAAAGCTATCCTGAGCAAAAAGAACAAAACTGGAAGAATCACATTACCTAGCTTCAAATTATCTTACTGAAATATAGCAACCAAAAGAGCATGGTACTGACATAAAAACACATAGACCAATGAAATAGAATGGAGCACCCGGAAAAAAATATCCCTACATCTACAATGAACTCATTTTCGACAAAGGTGCCAAGAACATACATTAGGGAAAGGACAGTCTTCAATAAATGGTGCTGAGAAAATTGGATATCCATATGCAGAAGAATAAAACTAGGCCCCTATTGCTCATCATATGAAAAAATCAAAACAAAATGAATTAAAGACTTAAATTAAGACCTCCAACCATAAAAATATGAAAAGAAAACTTTGGGGAAACTCTCCAGGTCATTAGTCTGGGCAAAGATTTATTGAGCACAGGCAACCAAAGCAAACATGGATAAATAAGATCACATCAACTTAAAAAGCTTCTGCATGGCAAAGGAAACAATCAACAAAGTGAAGAAACAATGCACAAAATGAGGGAAAATATTTGCAAACTATCCATCTGACAAGAATTTAATAAGTAGAATATATAAGGAGCTCAAACAACTCAATAGAAAAATAATGTTTCAATTTAAAAATTGGCAAAATATCTGAATAGACATTTCTCAAAAGTAGACATAAACATGGCATACAGGTATGTAAAAAGGCACTCTACATCCTTGAACATCATAGGAATGCAAATCAAAACTAAAATGAGTTATAATGTCACCCTAGTTATGTGTTTTTTATACAAAAGACAGGCAATAACAAATGTTGGCAAAGATATGGAAAAGGAAACCCTCATACCCTGTTGGTGGGTATGTAAATTAGTACAGCTACTATGGAGAGTACTATGGAGGTTCCTCAAAAAAGCAAAAATAGAACTACCATAAGATCCAGCAATCTAACTTTTAAGTATATACCCAGAAGAAAGTAAATGAGTATGTTGAAGAGATACCTATACTCCCATGTTTATTGCAGCACTATTCACAGTAAGCAAAATTTGGAATTAACTTGTGTGTCCATCAACAGAGAGATAAAGAAAATGTGGTACATATGCACAATGGAGTACTATTCAGCCATAAAAAAGGAAAGGGATGACATCCTGTCATTTTCAACAACATAGATGGAACTGTAGAATATATTAAGTGAAATAAATAAGGCACACAAAAACAAATTTTGCATGCTCTCACTCATTTGTGGGAGCCAAAAATTAAAACAATTAAACTCAGGGAGATGGAGAGTAGAAGGATGGTTACCAGAGGCTGGGAAGGGTAGTGAGTGGTGGGATGAGAGTAAGTGGAGATTGTTAATGGGCAGAAAAGTATATAGTTAGATGGAATAAATAAGACCTAGTACTTGATAGCACAAAAAGTTGTGTACATTCAACATTGATCTCTTATACATTTTAAAAGAACTAAAACAGTATAATCGGAATGTCTGTAACACAAAGAAATGATAAATGCTTGAGGCGATGGATCCTTACTTACCCTGATGTAATTACTACACATTGAATGCCTGTAACAAAATATCTCACATACCCCATAAATATATATACCTACTAAGTACCTGTAAAAATTAAAAATATAAATAAAAATATCATTTGAACATTAAAAAAGATAAATAGAATATTGTTAGAGTTCTGTAATATCCATCATGCTGTGTCACAGTCCCTTTTCATCATAAGAATCACTACTCTAACTTTTCATCCCACTATAGGCCAATTTTGCTTGTGTTGATTAGATATACAGCTAGATGATGGATGGATGGATGGATGGATAAATGGATGGATGATAAATGGATGGATAGACAGAAGACAGATAACAGGTGGATTCATCAGCATATGTGTCTGGTTTCTTTTGCTCACATTTATGGTTTTCAGAGCCATTCATATGACCGCCTGTGACAATATTTTATTCATTTCACTCTGATACAGTATTCTATTTTAGAAATATAGCACTATTTATTTATCCATTTCATTCTTGAAGCACATTCAGGTTAATTCTAGTTTGAAACTAAATTGAACAAAACTGCAATAAATATTCTTTAACTTGTTTTCTAAAGTGGGATTGCTGAGTCA